>NC_000020.11:1126941-1278456 GCF_000001405.40 Homo sapiens
AGAAGCAGTGTCCCAAATCATGCCCCGGAAACCACTGCTGCCACCACCACTGCCCAGTATTAGATACTGGCTGATTCTGTCTGCCCTGGTGCACCCTTCTCTTAAGCTGCTGATGTGACCCCCTGGCCTCTGTGCTACCCTCATTAGCAAGATGTCTGCCCCTTGCTGGGTCTGCATCTCCGTGTTGCTCACCTGCAGATCAAAGTTGATGCATCAGTTCAACACCTCAATTACCATGCCTGAGCCCTTTTGCAAAAGAGCCTGGGAAGTAGGTGTTTTAGTCTCTGCCTTGGAAAGGCAATATTCCTAAATCAGAGAAGTCTCCAAGCCTTAGGAAGGTATTTCATATAAACAGTCCTTATATATGTCTCTGTGGACATATGTGAATATTTCTTTAGGTTGAAGACTTTGTTACTCTCCCTTCACCCTCCCACTCTTAGCCAGAAATATCCCAGTCTCTCACTTTCTATTTTCACCCATCTAGGAATATGGCTCACAGCAAGTGGCAGACTTGACCCTGAACTTGGATGATTATATCGATGCAGAACACCTGGGTGACTTCCACAGGTACTTCTAAATGATGTCTCTTCCCTGGGAAAAAGAAGAGAGAACTAATGGCAAGATATGAGGAATAGGGTGGATGTGTCCAGAAAATTAAGGAAGGTGAATGGAAGAACCTTTTATTTCTGGGCACAACTTCCTAATTTTCTTTTCTGTTTTTTATGTATTTGAAGAGGAGACTTCCATAGGAAATGCCACATGAAACAAGATGGTGCAGTCAAGAGTCCACAAGTGCAGTGGTGGCTGCAGAGTAGAGGTGGAGCCCGGGCAACTCATTCAGTCAGAGCAGACTCCTGGGAGGATGTGTGCCTCATTGGGTCCCCAACCCCAATCTCCAACTTATTTAAAAAA
The DNA here is from genome assembly GCF_000001405.40 of Homo sapiens. Taxonomy (NCBI): domain Eukaryota; kingdom Metazoa; phylum Chordata; class Mammalia; order Primates; family Hominidae; genus Homo; species Homo sapiens. Next base: position 1,127,854 of record NC_000020.11, read on the forward strand.
AAATTATTTTCTTTAGGGTCGTTTTAGGTACAAGCAAAATTGAGCAGAAAGTGCAGAGCATTCCCATATTACCTCCTGCTCCCATACACCCACAGTTTACAGCTTCCCTGTGTCAATATCCCATACATAATGATTCATTTGTTACAACTAATGAGTCTACATTGACACATCATTATTAGGGCTCAAGCTTGCTGTTGTGCAGTCTGTGGGTTTTGACAAACAGATGAGAATGTGTGTCTATCATAGTATCACACAGAATAGTTTGACTACCCTAAAAATCTGTGCTTCTCCTATTCTTCACTCCCTTTTCCCTAACTGCTGGCAACCACTGATCTTTTGACTGTCTCCATAGTTTTGCCTTTTCTAGAGTGTCACATAGTTGGTATCATACAGTAGTATGATTCTAGACCTTTTCAGCAGATAGAGCTAGGAAAATTTTTCCTTATAAGTTTAAATTGCCACCTCTGTTTTTAATATAACACTACAGGATTCTTTTTCTCTTATTCCATACTTATATCTCCCTTCTCCTGTGGTGAGAACCCTGATTCCCAGCAGCATCAATGTATTTACTTATTTATTTGATCCTAGAATACACACAAATATTTTCTGAATTGCTACATCAGTGCCTACCAAGAACAAACCTATTAAGTAAAGTTCCAAATGACTTATTTCCAGTTCTTTTTGTCTTTTAACTATGTTCCACAAAAGATGTAGGCAGAGTAGTGTGTTCCAAAGGTACTTAGATTAGTGCTTGTTTTTAAAATCAGTATAATGAAATTATCTGTTTTATATATAGTTAAGCTGATTTATGTCTGCTTTATTCCATTATAGGGATTTTCCCCCCATCTTCATTGACCTCCTCAGGGTTTTATTTTTTATTTTATTTTATTTTTTTGAGGTGGAGTCTAGTTCTGTCACCCAGGCTGGAGTACAGTGTGACTGTTCAAGCAATTCTTCTGCCTCAGCTTCCCGAGTAACTGGGATTACAGGTGTGCACCACCACACCCAGCTAATTTTTGCGTTTTTTTGTTTTGTTTTTTGAGACGGAGTCTTGCTCTGTCACCCAGGCTGGAGTGCAGTGGCGCGATCTCGGCTCACTGCAAGCTCTACCTCCCGGGTTCACGCCATTCTCCTGCCTCAGCCTCCCGAGTAGCTGGGACTACAGGTGCCCACCACCACGCCTGGCAATTTTTTTTTTTTGTATTTTAGTAGAGATGGGGTTTCACCATGTTAGCCAGGATGGTCTCGATCTCCTGACCTCGTGATCCACCTGCCTTGGCCTCCCAAAGTGCTGGGATTACAGGCGTGAGCCACTGCACCCAGCCAATTTTTGCGTTTTTAATAGAGACAGGGTTTTGCTGTTGGCCAGGCTGGTGTCGAACTCCTGACCTCAAGTGATGGGATTACAGGTGTGAGCTACCGCACCTAGCCACCCTCAGAGTTTTAGAGTGAGCTTGGCATCACTATAAATGCACAGTTATCAAACCTTAACCGAACCTCAGAACTGCCCAGAAACCCTGTTGCATTTAATAGTATCTAATCAGCAATACCCTCTTTGAACCTATTCCAGTCCTCACAGACTTTCAAACCACTGGCCTCCACATTCTGGCCACTCCTCATTTCTCCTCCCCTCTTCCATGCAGCTTCTGTGTGAGGAGGTCTTTTACATATTCCCCTCCTGCATGCCACCCTCCAGTGTATTTCCCACGCAGCAGTTGGACCAGTCTTTCAGACATAGATCAGATCATAGTTAACAACTCTGGCTTAAAACCCTTCAGTGATGCTGCTTCACACCCATTACGATGGGTAGTATCAGAATAACCAGAAAATAAACAAGCGTTGTCAAGGATGTGGAGAAATTGGAACTCTTGTGCACTCTTGGGAATGTAAAATGGTGCAGCCACTATGGAAAACAATATGACAGTTCTTCAAAAAATTACCGTATAATCCTGCATGTCCACTTCCGGGCATATACCCAAAAGAATTGAAAGTAGGTCTTGAAAAGATATTTGTACACCCATGTTCGTAGAAGCATTATTCACAGTAGCCAAAAGGTGAAAGCAGCTTGGCTGTCCATTGATAAGATGAATGGATGAACAAAATTTGGTATGTAAATACAGTAGAATATTATTCGGCTTTAAAAAGGAAGGAAATTCTGGCCCGTGCTACAACATGGATGAACCTTGAAGACATTATACTAAATTAAATAAGCCATTCACAAAAGGACAAATTCTGTGTGATTCTATTAAAAGTACCTAGATTAGTCAAATTTGTAGAGACAGACAGTGGATGGTGGTTGCCAGATACTGGGGCAAGAGGGGAATAGGAAGGGGAGTTAGTGATTAATGGGTACAGAGTTTGTTTTGCAAAATGAAAAGAGATCTGGAGATGGATGGTAGGTGATTGCACAACAGTGTTAATGTACTTAACAGTACTGAACACTTAAAAATGGTTAAGATGGTAAATTTTATGCATATTTTACCACAGTTAAAAGTCTTTAGGGAATACTCATTGCTGTTAGGATAAAGAGCACAATCCTTGATGAGGCCTTAAAGCATTCACCCCTTCAATCTCACCTTGTACTGCCTTCCCCGCATCCCTGTGCTTCAGCCACAGTGTCATTCTTCTGCCCTCTTCAGACCTCTTCCCTCTGTCTAAAGTGCTCTCCCTGACCTCACGTAGCCAACTCCTGTTTATCTTTTGGTTACCGATTTAAACGTCAGTTCCTTAGAGAAGCTTCCTCTGGCCCCCAGGCTTACAGCTTCAAAACATTTTAGTAAAATGTTTTTTTTGGAGTCAGGTTTCCCTCTGTTGCCCAGGCAGGCTGGAGTACAGTGGCACAATCAGCTCACTTATAAACAGGCCAAGCAGCCTCAACCTACTGGGCTCAAGTGACCCTCCCACCTGAGCCTCCCAAATAATTGGGTCTACAGGCATGTGCCACCATGCCCAGCCAGTTTTTTATTTTTTGTAGAGATGAGGTCTTTGCTGTGTTGCCCTGGATCAAAACATCATTTTTTAAGCATTTAATCCATCAGATATTTTACATTTACCTTCTTAGGGTTGGTCTTCCCTCCTTGCCTGTGATCTCCTTGAGGGCAGGGTTTGGGTGTCTTCTGCATGCAATAGACAAAGGGAGGGAAGGGGAAGTGAGCCAGGCCTGGCCGGCAGAATGCTGCGCCTCTGAGGAAAGGGGGAAGTGAGCCAGGCCTGGCCGGCAGAATGCCGCGCCTCTGGGTGTTGCACACTCCCTGACACCCTGGCCCCTCTTAGTGGGTAAGGGAGGGACATTTGGAGTGTGGTCTCTTGACTTCTTCACTCTGGACTTCCACTGGGAGAGAAATTGACAAAACCTGTGGAAGAACCTAGGAATTATACTGGCCATTCATGCTCATTAGAGCATTCCGTCTGTTCAGCAATACTGAAAGAGAATTGTGATCCTGTCTCTATTTGTTTTTTAAGTACATTTGTTTGAGGGGTTTGTGTGTGAGGGAGGGGATATGTGTTGTGTTTTGTTTTGTTTTTTGATTACTGTGAAATGAGGGACACAATAGTACTACCTCAGGGTTTTTCTGAGAATGGAATGAGATGTCAGCACATAGAGTGCTTAGCGCTTAGTCCAGCTCTTAGTAAAATACACAAAGGGGAAAAAAATGTGATCACCAGGAGTCATCTCCGTGGAAATGGGCGGTGAAAGCTGAGGTATGGCTCTGCCTCCTGATCAGAGGCCCTGTCTCCCTCCTATGCCTTTCAGCCATAGCTTCCTCCATGTAGCCCTCTTTATTAGGTCATTGTGGCATGTCTTGCCTCTTCCAGCAATTTGTGCTCCTCAGTGAGCAAACTGTGATTTGCTAAGAAATATAAACCTATTGTGTTCCATTCTGCTGTACCCTTTCTGTGTCGGATGAGATGGTAGGCTGTCTTTTGCCACAACCAAAATGGCAGTTGTTCTTTCAAGGCTTAGAAATTGTGTGAGAACTTCTCCTTCAGGACCTGGTGGTTTTTTAATCAGGCCTGAATTTTACACATGCCTAGGGAGATCAGAGGCCTCCCTCTGATCTGATTAAAAGGAAAGAAGACTTGAATTTACCCTCCCACCCAGCTTGGGCAGGCAAGCAGCTCATTTTTTACCCATGGATGTCCAATGGCCCCAACATCATTTGTTATTCCTTCATTGAATTACTTTTGAAACTTTGTCAAAAATCAGTTGTCTGTACATCTGTGGATCTATCTCTGGATCCCTTGTTCTTTTCCATTGATCTCTATGTCTCTTCCTCTGTCAATATTACTCTATCAGTATTGATTATTGTAGGCCTTAATATTGAGTAGAATAATTCCTCCCACTTTTTCTTCGTCAAGGTAGTTGTAGCTATTCTAGGTTCTGTGCCTTTTCTTTTTTTTCTTTTTTCTTTCTTTTTTTTTTTCTTTGTTTGAGACAGAGTCTCACTGTGTCTCAAAAAGGCTCAGGCTGGAGTGCAGTGGTGTGATCTTGGCTCACTTCAACCTCTGCCTCCGGGGTTCAAGTGATTCTCCTGCCTCAACCTTCTGAGTAGCTGGGACTACAGATGCGTGCCACCATGCCTGGCTAATTTTTTGTATTTTTAGTAGAGACGGGGTTTTACCATGTTAGCCAGGATGGTCTCGATCTCCTGACCTCGTGACCCACCCATCTTAGCCTCCCAAAGTGCTGGGATTACAGACGTGAGCCACCGCACCTGGCCTCTGTGCCTTTTCATATAAACTTTAGAGTAAGCTTGTGTATATCTATGAAAAACCTTGCTAGGATTTTGATAGGAGTTGCATTAAACCTATAGATTAGTTTGGGGAGAATTGACATTCTTGCTATGAACATGATATATCTTATCTCTCCATTTATTAATATTTAGGTTTTATTTGATTTCCATCAGTATCATTTGTAATTTTCAACATATAGATCCTGTACATAGCTTGTTATTTGTTTAAAGCAGAAAGGGAGATGATTATGAATGGCATATTCTGTCCTTTGTTTTGGTTTTCAAATGTTCATTGTTAGTGTGTAGAAATGTAGTTGATTTTCCTGTGTTGAACTCTTCTATCCTGTCACCTTGCTGAATTCAAGGTGTTTAGGGTTTTTTTGTTTTTTTTTTTTTTTGGTAGATTCCTTGGGAATTTCAGGGTAGACTATCATGTCATTTGCAAATAGGGACAGTTTTATTCCTTACTTGCTAATATGAATGCCTTTTGTTTTTCTTGCCTTATTGCAGTGGTCAGGATGTCCAATATTATGTTAAATAAGAGTGATGAGAAAGAATATGCTTTCCTCGTTCCCAATCTTAGGAGCAAAGCATTCAGTCTTTCACAGTAAAGTATATTGTTAGGGGTAGGTTTTTTGTAAATGTTCTTTATCAGGTTAAAGAAGTTCCCCTTTATTCTTAGTTTGTTGAGAGTTTTTAATCTTGAATGGATTTATCATGTTGGATTTTGTCAAAAGCTTTTTTCTGTATCAATTGATATGATCATATGATTTTTCTTCCATAGCTTATTGATATGGTAGATTACGTTGATTGATTTGTGACTATTAACCAGTCTTGCATGCCTAGAACAAATCATACTTGGTCATGGCATATAGTTCTTTTTATACATTTTTAAATTCAATTTGCTCATATTTTGTTGAGGATTTTTTTTGTGTGTAAGTTCATAGGATATACTAGTCTATATATGTGTATATATATATATATTTTTTTTTTTTTTTTGGTGTAGTCTTTGCCTGGTTTTGATACCAGAGTAATACTGGTCTCATGAAATGGATTGGAACGTATTCCCTCCTCATATATTTTCTAGAAGTGACTGTAAAATTGGTGTTAATTCTTCTTTGAATGTTTGGTAGAATTCTTCCTGAAATCATCTGAGCCTGGAGATTTTTGGTTTTTGTTTTTTTATTTTATTTTTTTAGAATGTTAAGTGTAATTCAGTTTCTTTAATGGAACTATTCAGATTATCTATTTCATTTTGGCTGAGTTGTAGTTTATGGTTTTTAAGAATTGGTCTATTCTGAGTTGTTGGATTAAGTTGTTCTTAGTATTCTCTTATTATCCTTTCAGTGGCTACAGATCTATTGTAATATCTCCTGTTTCGTTCTTGTTATTGGTGACTGTGTCCTCTCTTTGTATTTGTCAGTCTCGCCAGGAGTTGGTCAGTTTTATTCTTTTTTTTTGAAGAATTGACTTTGTTTCATTTTCTCTCTTGTTTTTCTTTTTTATTGACTTCTGTTCTTACCTTTATTACTTCTGCTTGCTTTGAGTTAATTTGCTCTTCTTTTTCTAGGTTCTTTAGGTCAGAATTTTGGTTATTGATTTGAATTCCTTCCTCTATTTTGATGTAAGCATTTAGTGCTATGAGGTTTCTTCTCAGCAATCCTTTAGTTATATCCCACATATTTTCGTATGTTTTTATTTTCATTTTAATTCAGTGCTATATATTTCTTTTTTGTGACTTTGATCCAAGGATTTTCTAGAAGTATGTTGCTTAATTTTCATGTATTTAGAGAGTTAACTTTTTGTTTTGATTTCTGTTATGATTCCATATGGTTGGAGAACATACTTTATATGATTTCAGTTATTTTACATTTGTGAGCTTTGCTTTATGGGCCAGGATGTGGTTCATTTTAAAATACCAGTGTTTTAGGAAGCCTGGAGTCCTGCCCACTCTGTTACCTCAGCCTGCCTCCACACCTCAGCTGTGGCTCACGTCACTTGTCTCTCACAGGCATAGAAAAAGAGGCCCAGGCAGGATGGGACAGGTGGTAGGGGCAGCCTTCCGAGGACCCCTGAGTTAGTGACAGAACTGGACCTTGAACCCCCAGAGCTCTGCCTGCCTGGAACAGGAACCTGGTTCATCCTCCCCATGGAGCCTTTGCCTTCCATGACCCTTCCCATGACACGTGATGAACACACAATGAAGCTGAGGGAGGGGTGAGGCGGGTGAGGACAGAGGAGTAGCCAATCCAGGCCCTGTGCCCCTACACCCTCACCTCTTTCTAATGGGGTGGTAAACAAGGAGGGGCAACTCAGATGCCTAAGAAGCTTGGGCCCAAATCTCAGAGACAGCGTGGGGCTGTTGCCCCCCTCACCCAGGTCCAGCAGGCGGCCTGTTCCCCCACTTATAAACAGGCCAAGCGCAATGCCAGGAGCTATCAGGGCCGCCGCCGCCGCCGTCGTTGCAGCCAGAATACCACTTCCAGGGTTCCTAGCCAACTGCAAGCAGTTGACTCTTCATCTGCTTCCTGCAGGACCTACAAGAACAGTGAGGAGCTTCGGTCTCGTATTGTGTCTGGAATCATCACACCTATCCATGAGCAGTGGGAAAAGGCTAATGTAAGCAGTCCCCACCGGGAGTTCCCCCCTGCTACCGCCAGAGAGGTGGACCCACTCCGGATTCCTCCACACCACCCACACACCAGTCGGCAGCCTCCCTGGTGAGTACAGAGTGCCTAGCGGGAAGCCCATGCTTCTGTAGAGGGATTCCAGCCAGCTATCCCCATCCTGCCACTTGACCCCATCCCTGGCCCGTATGTGTTTTCAACAAAATGATCAGTGTCTTGGGGTGCATGGAGTTAGAAAGTGGAGACGTAAGTGGAGCAGTGAGTTCTTGAACTGCTACTAGTCACCCTAATTACCCAAAATCCTAAGCCTGCCTGATTTCTTTCTAGGGGCCACACAGAGCCCCTGAGTCTGTCCAAGGATCAGTGCCTCTGGGGCTTATGTGCAGTAGTCTAAGGTTGCTGCCCAGGTAATTCACAGCTAATTCATTCCAGAGCTTTTTGTCTAGACAGGGCCCTGGGCCAGTCTTTCTGAGAAAATGTAAACATGTAGAGGTACTAGCCCAGAGGAGATGCAGTCCCAGTGTCTTGCCCATTTCATTTCATTGTAGTCCCCCAATCTCACTATCAAGTTCAGAAGTTTTCCAAAATAGCATGGGATGTGAGTGAGTCACATTCCAAGGTTTTTGCAGATTAGGATGGCAGCATTAGGACTGGAGACTTCTGCTCAGAGGGAGGAGACAAGGACCAGGGGACCCTAGTCTCTAGCTGAGACAGCACTTCTCAGTTTGGAGCCCGTACTGTGATACCATACTGTTGGTAGGGATAAGGGACAGAGTTCACTGTGAGGGACATGAATAAGCACTTAATAAATGTAGACTACCATTGTTATTTTATTCTGGTTTGCAATTATATGCCTTTAGTTAGCTAAAAATGGGAAATCAGTTTAATTATTCCAAGTAATGATTGGCGTATCTCTTTGGCAAAATCTTTACCAAAAATATTGAGTCCTGTGAAGAGAATGGAGAATAAGAAAAAGTGGTTGAAAAGGTTGAAAATGGCTTGTCTGATATATCTTATTTTACCAAAGGGAATAGAGATAAGATGACCTGCCTGAGTTCGCCAGCCACTAATAAAGAGGCAGAGCCAGGGCTGGGGTCTAGGTGTCCTTACTCCCTGCACAGTGCTCTGGCTGTGATGTAAACAGATGTGATCTAACCACCTTTCCATGGTGGAAAGATTTAAGAATAAGCCCTGGTCAGAAGTCAAGTTGGGAAAAAATTTTAGACCTAAAGTAAATAGTAATTCTCAGCTTTATTAGACCCAATGCCCATTTCAAAACAAGTATTCTGTGAAATATCCCTTACTATATTGAAATGGAATTCATAGGTATTCTAACTTACCTCATGCACATTTCAGAGGAAATCAGTATAAAGTCCTAACTATAACATAAATTAGAAAAAGAGAGTAATTGATAAGATGATGATGTGTATTCCATGCGTAGGTGCCTGAGTACACTGGAGAGCATGGATGTTTACACCTGTATGTGGAATTATCTTGAATTCAACAGTGACAAAGGCTGTTGTATATAGATGTATTATGTCAACAACTCAAATACCACAAAACTCTGTTGCTGTTACTAACATGACTTTTTTGAAATGGTAAACAGCTGTTAGGAGAATTGCAAACAAAATAGTGATTGAATATTGTTTCTTCAGTTATACCATAGTTACATTCCTGGAAAAATGTGCTTGTTTTAAAGTAGTAGAAAAAAATACTTAGTGTTCATATATAAAATGGCCTTACATTCAGATAATTTATTTAGGCTTTACACCTCCATGAGTATCTAACAAGACATTTGAAAATTGTGTGGGATGCAGGTCATTCTTCATTTCGTGAAACTCTACTATGAATTGTAGAACATCCAGCATCTCTGGTCTCTGCCTGTAAATGCCAAGAACGCCCTCCAACTACTATGACAAGCAAAAATGACCCCAGGGCTTGCACTATGGCACCTGGAGGCTATGCTTCCCTATTTGGGAATCATAGACGTAGAGTATAGAATTGTGAAAGTAAAAATCCTAGCCTTGGAAGAACTGAGAGAATGAGAAAATCACCATGTTGCAACTTCTGCTGAAATAATGTACCTAGTCACAAATTGTCAATGGTTGATAAAACTATTAAGTAAAGGTCGATAGGGGACTTTATATTAGGTGGATCTGGCGAGTAGCATCTGAACCCATTGGTTAATCTTAACGCTAAAAGTGGGATAGCCAGATACTGTTTTCTAATATTATGCAATAGTAAGTTCACAGCAACCTCAATCTAGATCTAACTCCCAGTTTAAAAATATGAAGGACAGAAGAATGAGTCAAACAGGTGCATGAGGATACAACATCCAAAATTGGAATATGGAAAAATTATATAGGATAAATTGACCTTGTTTTTTCAACAAATAAATTAATCGCATGGGGAGAAAAGGGAGAAAAGGAGGCTCTTGTGGAAAGAGTCATACCAACTAAAATGCAGTGTTGGACCTTGTTTGGATCTTGATTCAAACTAATTCAAAAAATTATTTTTCAAACATTTGGGGAAATTTGAGCATTGACCAGGTATTAGATAGCATTATGAATTACTGCCAGTTTTGTTAGGTGAAATAATTCTGCTTATGTTAAAAAAAGTCTTTATCTGTTAGAGATATACATTGAAGTATTTAAAGGTGAATGATATGTCTGGGATTTACTTTAAAATAATTTCAGCCCCCGCCAAAAGAGTAAGGTGTTGGGGAGGGGAAGTATAAGTAAAATAAGAATGGTGGACTATTGATAATTATTGAAGTTAGGCGGGAATACACACAGGAACTCATGATACTATTCTTACTATTTTTTGGTATGTTAAAAAATTTCCTTAATAAGGAGTTTTTATTAATACCAGTTCTTCACATAGTCCTCCAAAAAATAGAAGAGGAGGGAATACTTCCCAGCTTCTTCTGTGAAGCTAGTATTATCCTGATAACCAGTACCAAAGACATGACAAGAAAACTACAAGCCAGTATCCTTTATGAATACAGATATGAAAACCCTTAACAAAGTACTAACAAACCAAATCCAGCAACATATACAAAGGATTATATAACATGACCAAGTGAAATTGATTCCAGGAATGATTGATTTAACATCTGAAAATAAATCAGTGTTAAGATACCATATCAATAGAACAAAGGAGGCCAGGCGCCCGGTGGCTCATGCCTGTAATCCCTGCATTTGGGAGGCTGAGGCACAGGAATCGCTTGAACCCGGGAGGTGGAGGTTGTAGGGAGCTGAGATGGCGCCACTGCACTCCAGCCTGGGCAACAGAGACTGCATCTCAAAAAAAAAAAAAAAAAATACAACAAAGGATAAAAACTACATGTTCATCTCGATAGAAAAATAGCATTTGACAAAGTCTGACACCCTTTCATGACAGGAGCATTCAGTTAGCCTGGGAAATATAGTGAGACCCTGTCTTTACAAAAAAAATTAAAAATTAGCCAGGCTTGATGGCATATACCTATAGTCCCAGCTACTTAGGGTGCTGAGGTGAAAGGGTCACTTCAACCTGGGAGGTCAAGGCTGCAGTGAGCTGTCATCACACCACTGCACTCCAGCCTGGGCAACAAAGTGAGACCCTGTCTCAAAAACAAACAAAAAAAAACAAAACCAAACAAAAGCAAATAAAAAAACAACAAATTCAGCAATAGGAGGGGCCAGGCATGGTGGTTCACCCCTGTAATCCCAGCACTTTGGGAGGCCAAGGCAGGTGGATTATTTGAGGTCGGGAGTTCAAGATCAGCCTGGCCAACATGGTGAAACCCTGTCTCTACTAAAAATATATAAATAATCTGGGCATGGTTGTGCATGCCTGTAATCCCAGCTACTCGGTAGGCTGAGGCAGAATCGCTTGAACCTGGGAGGTGGAGGTTGCAGTGAGCCGAGATCACGCCACTGCACTCTAGCCTGGACAACAGAGCGAGACTGTGTCAGAAAACACACATACGAAAAGAACAACAACAAAAAACAACAATAGAAGGGAATTTTCTAAAGCCAATAAAGAGCATCTACAAAAAGCTCACAGCTGACATTCTCCTTAATGGAGAAAGATGGAGTGTTTTCCTCTTAAGATCCGGAACAAGGCAAGCATGTTTGCTTTTGTTTTTGCCACTTTTATATAACATTGTACTTGATATTCTAGCCAGGGCAATCACTCAAGAAAAATAAGGGGTATCCAGATTAGAAAGTAGGAAGTAAAAATACCTCTATTTGTCAATGACGTGATATCTTGTATACAGAAAATCCTAAGGAATCCTCCGAAAAACAGAACTAAGCAAGTTCAGCAATGTGGCAGGATATAAAATTGATATCCTGGCTAACACGGTGAAACCCCGTCTCTACTAAAAATACAAAAAATTAGCTGGGTGTGGTGGCAGGTGCTTGTAGTCCCAGCTACTCAGGAGGCTGAGGCAGGAGAACGGCGTGAACCCGGGAGGCAGAGCTTGCAGTGAGCTGAGATTGCACCACTGCACTCCAGCCTGGGCAACAGAGCGAGACTCCATCTCAAAAAAAAAAAAACGATAAAAATCAGTTGTATTTCTGTACATTAGCAATGAACAATCTAAAAATTAATGAAATTATCCCATTTATAACAACCCCCAAAAGAATATAATACGTAAAAATAAATTTAACAAAAGAAGAATTGTGAAAGATTTGGGAAAGAATTGTGTAAGATTTGTACAGTGAAAACTGTAAAACATTGTTGAAAGAAATTAAAGATTTAAGTAAAGGAAAGACATTCTGTGCTCACGGCTAGGAAGAATTAATATTAGCCATACTCCCCACTTGATCTACCTATTCAGTGCGATCCCAGTGAAAATCCCAGCAGGTTTTGGGTTTTTCCCCCCCAGAAATTGGCAAGCTGATCCTAAAATTCAGGTAGAAATGCAAGGGAACCAGAATGGCTAAAACAATCTCAAAGAAAAACAAAGTTGAAAGACTTCCAGATCCCTATTTCAAAACTTATTACAAAGCTTCAATCATCAGGACCGTGTGGCACTGGCATTAGGATAAACATATAGAGCAAGGAAATAGAATTGAGAGTCTAGAAATTAACCCATACATTCATAGGGAATTGATTTCAGCAAGGTTGCCAAGACAATTTAGTAGAGAAACCATAGTCTTTTCAAATGGTGCTGGGACAATTGGATATCTACATGCAAAAGAATGAAGTTGGGTCCCTTCCTCGATTACCTCTAAATGAATCACACACCTGAGTGTAAGAGCTTGAACTATAAAATTTCTAGACCTAGAAATAAGTCTACCTTGGGTAGTCTTATTCCCTGACCTTCAGTTAGACTGTGGTTTCTTAGACACAATACCTGGGAGGTTAAAAGCACAAGCAGCGAGAAAAAATAGACAAATCAAACTTTGTCAAAATTAAAATATTTTGTGCATAAAAGGATAGTATCAAGAAACTGAAAAGATAACCCAAAGAATGGGAGAGAATATTTGCAAATCAGATATCTGACAAGAAGCTTGTATCCAGAATATATAAAGAGCTCTTACGACTGAACAATACAAAAGAAAACTCAATTTTAAAATGTTCAAAGGATTTGAGTAGATATTTCTCCAAGGAGGATGTACAGATAGTCCATGAGCACAAGAAAAGGTGTGCAACAACATTGGTCATTAGGGAAATGGAAATCCAAACCAAGAAATAGTATTATTTGCAATAGCCAAAAAGTAAGAACAACCTAAATGTCTATCATTTGATGAATAGCAAATATGATATATGCTTACAACTGAATATGGATATTACAGCAATAAAAATGAAGGATTTGTTATAATGTGGATGAACCTTTAAAACATCACGTTAAGTGAAAGAAGCCAGTCATAAAAGACTATATATGATTTATTTATGTGAAATGTCCAGAATAGGCAACTTTATAGAGATAGAAAGCAGATTAATGGTTGCCAGGGTGGAGGTGGAAGATGGGAAAGCAGGAATGAGGAGAGACTGCTAATGGGTACCAGGTTTCTTTTTGGGGTGAAGAAAATGTTCTGAAATTAGAACATTTGCATATTCTGTGAACATCTAAAAACCATGCGTTATACATGTTAGCTGGTTGAATTTTATAAGTGAAATGTATCTCAATAAAGCTATAAAAAATGGGTATTTTACAAAAGTCCTAGACTTGGGTTAATTGGAAACATGAATATATAATGATAGAAATTATTTCCTTCAGATCAAACCATAGTCCAAGAGAATTGATAATAACTGCCCATGACTGGGGCTTTTTTTTTCTTTTTAATATTTTTTCTTCAGCTGAAGAGTGGTTTGTTAGTACCTAAACAATATTTTAAGGACTCATCATCATACCAGCAAACGTGATTTATTTAAAATTAGCTACTGAATGCCTTCCCCCTAAGGAAGAAGGCAAGGATAACCGCTCTGACCACTCTTATTCAGCATAATACTAGAAGTTTTAGCCCGCACATTAAAACAAGAAAAAGAATTATCATACAGATAAGGAAGGAAGAAATAAACCAGTTTATATATGCAGATGACATAATGATCTACATAGAAAATCCCAAGGAATCTACCAAAAATAATAATAAAAATAAGTTTGACCAGGTTGCCAGATACCAGATTAACATACAAAAGTTAATTGTATTTTTATATACTAGCAATAAACACGTGGAACGAAATTTAAAATACAGTACTGTTTATAGTTGTTCAACAACTACTCAGATAGGCTGGGCACAATGGCTCACGCCTGTAATCCCAGCACTTTGGAGGCCGAAGAGGGCAGATTACCTGAGGTCAGGAGTTCGAGACCAGCCTGGCCAACCAACATGGTGAAACCCCGTCTCTACTAAAAATAGAAAAATTAGCCAGGTGTGGTGGCGCACGCCTGTAATCCCAGCTACTCGGGAGGCTGAGGTGGGAGAATTGCTTGAACCCAGGAGGCAGAGGTTGCAGTGAGCTGAGATCGCGCCACACCACTGCACTCCAGCCTGAACGACAGAGCGAGACTCCTTCCCAAAACAAAACAAAACAAAAACTAAAATAACTCAGCTATAATTCTTTTTTTTTTATTGTTATACTTCAAGTTTTAGGGTACACGTGCACAACGTGCAGGTTAGTTACATATGTATACATGTGCCATGTTGGTGTGCTGCACCCATTAACTCATCATTCAACATTAGGTATTTCTCCTAATGCTATCCCTCCCTCCTCCCCCCACCCCACAACAGGCCCCGGTGTGTGATGTTCCCCTTCCTGTGTCCAAGTGTTCTCATTGTTCAATTCCCACCTATGAGTGAGAACATGCAGTGTTTGGTTTTTTGCCCTTGCAATAGTTTGCTGAGAATGGTGGTTTCCAGCTTCATCCATGTCCCTACAAAGGACGTGAACTCATCATTTTTTATGGCTACATAGTACTCCATGGTGTATATGTGCCACATTTTCTTAATCCAGTCTATCATTGTTGGACATTTGGGTTGGTTCCGAGTCTTTGCTATTGTGAATAGTGCCGCAATAAACATATATGTGCATGTGTCTTTATAGCAGCATGTTTTATAATCCTTTGGGTATATACCCAGTAATGGGATGGCTGGGTCAAATGGTATTTCTAGTTCTAGATCCCTGAGGAATCGCCACACTGACTTCCACAATGGTTGAACTAGTTTACAGTCCCACCAACAGTGTAAAAGTGTTCCTATTTCTCCACATCCTCTCCAGCAGGTATAATTCTAACAAAACTTGTATAAGATTTTTATACTGAAAACTACAAAATGCTAGTGAAAGAAATCAAAGAAGATCTAAATAAATGGAGAGACATAACATATTCATGGATTAAAAAATCAGCATAGTAAAAATGTCAGATACTCCACAAATTGATACACTATTTTAATGCAATTCCTATCAAAAATCCCAACAAGAATTTCTGCAGATATAGCAAGATACAGCAGATAATATTTATATGGAAAGGCAAAGAATCTAAGATAGCTATAACAATTTTTTAAAAGAATAAAGTAGAAGAAATCATTCTACCCAATATTAGGGCTAATTATATAGCTAAAGTAATCAAGATGGTGGAATTGGCAGAGGGACAGACATATAGATAAGTAG
This sequence comes from Homo sapiens, assembly GCF_000001405.40. Lineage (NCBI taxonomy): Eukaryota > Metazoa > Chordata > Mammalia > Primates > Hominidae > Homo > Homo sapiens. The sequence continues at coordinate 1,143,317 of NC_000020.11, forward strand.
AACAGAATAGTGAACACAGAACTAAGACCAGCCAACTTTTGACAAGGGTGCAAAAACAAGTCAATGGAGGAAAGAATGTCTTTCAGTAGATGATGCTGGAGCAATTGGATAATCACAAGCAAAAATATGACCCTTGACCTTAACCTTCTATAAAAATGACCTCAAAGTGGATCATTGATTTAAATGTAACATACAATACCACAGCACTCCTAGAAGAAAACACAAGAGGAAATCTTCAGTGTCTCAGGCTTGGTGAAGAGTTCTTAGATACAGCACTAAATGCACAGTGTTTAAAAAGATGCTAAATTGGACTTCATTGAAATTTAAAACTTTTGCTCTGTGAAAGACCCTGTTAAGAGGATAGAAGCATAACCTACAGTTTGGGAGGCAATGCTTGGAAACCATATATTCAACAAAGGATTCATATCTAGATAAAGAACTCTCAAAATCAACAGCTTAAGAAACTATCCAATTAGAAAATGGAAAAATGAAGGCCAGGCATGGTGGCTCATGCCTGTAATCCCAGTACTTTGGGAAGCTGAGGTGGTTGGATCACCTGAGGCCAGGAATTCGAGATCAGCCTGGCCAACATGGTGAAACCGTGTCTCTTCAAAAATACTAAAATTAGCGGGTGTGGTGGTGCATGCCTGTAGTCCCAGCTACTCGGGAGGCTGAGGCAGAGGATCACTTGAACCCGGGAGGCGGAGGTTGCAGTGAGCCGAGATGGCACCACTGCTCTCCAGCCTGGGTGACAGAGCAAGACTCCGTCCCCCCCAAAAAAAGAAAAAAATGGAAAAATGATATGAAGAGGTAGTACACTGAGAAGGATGTACAGATGGCAAAGAAGCAATGAAAAGATGCTCAGCATTGTTAGCCATTAAGCTAGGTGAAATGCAAATGAAACCACAATGGGAGTTTCACACCTATTAGAATAGCCAAAATTAAAAATAGTGATGATACTAAATTCTAGAGAGAGTGCAGAAAAACTGGATCATGTACACTGCTGGTGGGCATGTCAAATGTTACAGCTACTCTGGAAAATCATTTGGCAGTTTCTTAAAAAACTAAACGTGTACATAATAGTTAGCTCCAGGAATCACACTCCTGAACATTTATCTCAGAAAAATGAAAATTGTGCCCACAGAAAAACCTGTACACAGATGTTCAGAAGAGTTTTATTTGTAATAGCCAAAAGCTGGAAATAATCTGATGTGCCTCCTCCAGTGATGAATAGTTAAAGGAACCGTGGTTTATCCATACTGTGGAATACCACTCGGCAGCATAAAGGAATGAATTGTTGAAACACAGCAATTTGGTTAATCAGAGTTATTATGCTGAGTGAAAGAAGCCATTCCCAAAAGGTCACATATTGTGTGATTCCACTTACATAACATTTTTAAAATGACACAGTTATAGAGGCGCTAAACAGATTAGTGGTTGCCAGGGGTTATGAGGGCAGGGCTGTAGGTGTGGTTATTAAGGGGAGTAGCATGAGAGAGATCTTTGTGGTGGTTTAACTATTAGAGGAAACTGAGTGAAGTATATTGGAACCTCTTGTGCTGTTTTTCCAACCCCCGTGAATCTTTTTTTTTCTTTTTAGACAGAGTCACCCAGTGTGGAGTGCAGTGGTGCGATCTCGGCTCACTGCAGCCTCCGCCTCCCGGGTTCAAGCAACTCTTCTGCCTCAGCTTTCTGAGTAGCTGGGATTACAGATGCCTGCCACCACACCCAGCTCATTTTTGTATTTTTAGTAGAGACGAGGTTTCACCATGTCGGGCAGGCTGGTCTCAAAATCCTGCCCTCAAGTGATCTGCCCACCTCAGCCTCTCAAAGGGCTGGGATCATAGGCATAAGCCCCTGTTCCTGGGCCCCTGTGAATCTTTAATTATTTAACAATAAAAGGGTTTTTAAAATTTAGATGCTGAAGAGCCACTTAGATTCTTAAGTCCATGGTATTTATTCAGTTCTGTGTAGGGGGACAGTGGATCTAGCCCTGAGTGTTTCATAAAGGCCAGTGAGGCCTTTTGTCCTGCTCGCTCATACCTAGTCAGGGATGAGCAATGGACTGGGAGCACATAGGAAAAGGAATCTGAGCCTTACCTGAAGGCTTCCCCAAGGAAGGGACTGACCACTAAGCAGGCTCCTAAAGAATAAGGAGGAGATGTTAGCCAGACAGAGAGTAGGGCAGAAAGGGCATCTTAGCCTGAAAGCCTGTCCTGTGCAGAGCCCTGGAAGGACAGGCAGTGGAGCTAGAGCCAGGCAGGGGTCGTTAAGTGGGTTGCTGAGACCAGGTCAAGCTTCCCCACTTAGGGTAAGGGAAAGGATACAATACTCCTTATCAGGGTAGAAAATTACCAAGAAGTGATGTGGGCCTCAGTTCAGTGAATCTTTACTAAGTGAAGGCTCTGAGTCTTTGGTCTGAGGAGGCTTTGGGGAACATGTGGATATTCTACTAGGCCCAGAAAATGAGAAGGATACCAGCCAAGCACTGGACTGCTGCAGGTCCAGCAAGTCCTGCCCCAACCTGGTTTTGGTTGGCAGAAACCTCTGGTCCTCTATCTCTGGAGTTTACCCCACTTCTGACAGTACCACCACTCAGTTATTTTTGTCTGATGCCAAGATTACTGGCTTTTTTCAAGCGCATATTTTCTTTGCTCTGTGTTTTCACCCATTGCTTGGACCTGTGCATTGTACATTTTTGGTGAGTCCTCTATTCAGCAAATGTTTTTCTCTGTGGGTTCAGGGATCCTAGGGTTGGGCCCCTGCTTTAGAGGCATGCACTTCCCCTGTGGCATGGGAAATAGGTGAGTTAGAGAGATAATTGCTGTTACAGAGGTTAGCACAGAGATACTTCATGAGTATCCTGGGAAAGGCTACTTGGAAGTGCTGCCTGAGTTGTGTCTTCACCGGAAAGGGAATTATTTCTTAAACTCTCTTTCTGCCTTTTCATGTGTCTGAATTACTACGTAACAGATTTTTTTTTTTTTTTAGGGAGAAGGTTGTTCCAGGCTGAGGAAACAGTAGGTTAGAGGCATCAAGGTCTAAAAACATGGGGCTGTCCCTGAACTTTAGCTGGACAAAAATGATTTGTCTGGAATCCTAGCATATACCAGCTGTGGAGGGTGGGGCCAGATTTGGGGAAGCCCCTGATGTGAAGTACACGAATCTCCCTGTGGACAGTTGGAAACCACTGAAGGATTCTGAGGGCAACAGTGCCTTTGGCTAAAGAGCCTGGTGGGTTGGAGAGGATCAGGCAGAAGATTGAGCTTGTCCCTCCTCCATATCGCTCTGAAGGAAGGACTTGGTTCCCTTCCTTCCCTGCCCCACCTCTCCCCCCACGTCAAGGAGAGTATTTTGCGGCAATTAGGAACACAGGCTTTGAAGAATGATCAGCTGGGTTCATACCCTGAGCTTACACCTTTCCCTGTCTCAGCACATTTAGCCTCTTGAAGCCTCAGTTTTCTGATCTGCACCTTGGGAATAATTATAGCTGTGTCAAAGGTTTTGTAGGATTGAATGTGATCGTGGATATCACATGTTGACATTCAGTAAATATTCAGTGGTCTAGTAACTGGTCACTGGAAAAAAATATTCAGTGGATGCCCATTCAGGTAGCTGGCAAAGATGAGAACAAATGTGAAGGTGTAATGAGTAGAGGGTCTCTCAAGAGAGAACCTTGTTTTATTTTTTTTAAATACCTACCATCTTCCCCCCAAAACAGATTTGATGGAGGATTAGGTGTGAGAGTGTCAGCCCAGAGCGGGTGTTGGGCAAGTATTTAGGCCCAGGCCCAGGTCCATTATGGACATTGTTTCCGTTATCATCATCATCATCATCATCATCATCATCATCATCATCATCACCACCCTGTGTTGAGGACAGAAGTAATTTCCCTTTCTTGGCTGTTCACCATGCGTTGGCCTGTGAACCGAGTGTGTTAATTTATGGTTGCTTATCTTCTGGACAGCCCTACAAGAAGATCAGTGGCATCCCCACTTTACAGGGGAAGAGACAGTGGCTGAGGGAGGTAACGTAGCTTCTCAGCGTTATCTCGCTGGGAGGGTGAGCACTGGGATTTACCCCGAAGTGGGTCTAACTCAGCAGCTTATGCTTTTCCCACTGCACCTGTCAGCGTTAGTTCATGTAATAAGCAATGTGGTGTACAAATTCAATGTAGTGTAGACTGATTATGGAGAAGCCCATCCCCTTTCTCCTCCTCAATTAAGTCTTTCTGAGGCAGATCTATTTCACAAGAGTAAGGCACTGAACTGGAGAGATGGTTGGAAGAGGAGGCAGAATGTTTAGGAGGCTTTTTCTTAGCCTCTAGCAAATTGACAGCCTATCAGATCTCCCCTCTGTAATCACCTCACCTGCCTCTGCCCCCACTCCCTGCTTATTCCTTGGCCAGCCCCATTTGTCCATGAGCTCAGATAGCTGTGTTGACCCTGATTTCTTTACTATAGCTCCCATCACCACCACTTTGCTCAGCAACCAGGCACTCACACTTCCACCTTTTCCTTTCTCCCTGAAATGCCCAGTTTTGGGGGGAGGCCACAGCAGGAAGGAGGCAAAAAGCAGCACAGAAGCTGGCCTCTCTGGCTGCTGCAGAGTATTAATTATCCCATCACTGAACACCCTTGGCTGGCGCTCGGAGCAGAAATATCAGCCTCTGCTCCTTCCCATAGGACACAGTCCAGTGTCTCACCCCTCACCTTAAACACTCTTGTTTTGCCTCTCTCACACCTGGAAATTTCCAAATACAAACTAAAGTTGGAATTGTCTGCCCTAGAGCGTAAAGAGACTTGTTTCCCTGTGTGTGTAGTGATGTATGGCTGCAGCTTGTCAAAAGATTCTGGGTCTGCTGTGATACTGGGTGCGTCTAGGCTAGGAGTATAGCTAGAGAGGACATTCCATTGTAGTGGAAGATTGGAGGTGGGCAGGTCTTTTCTACTCCTGAGAAGTCTAGGAAAGAATTACTGAAAACAACCATCTGTAAGGAAAATATTTTTTTATCCAGCCTAACTTTTCATTATCATTATAAGTCTAACCTATTTCCTTTTGCTTCATCTGTCCTCTGATAGTCAGGAGACTGTATGCCCCAAATCCTGCTCCATGTTTTGTAAAAAACAGTTTTTTCTATGCTTAACCAGCTTCTCTAAAAATAAATCTTTAGATATAAAGCTCTTATTTATGTCATTCTGAATTCATTTTTAATCCCAACCAATCTGTATCTTTACATATTTTTAAATGTTCCAAATAGTTTGCATTTTGCATTTTCTTTTTAAATTTCATAATCCATTTACTAAAGTGCCAAACATAACTCTTTTAGTATCTGATATTTCATTTTGCTAGTATGCTATGGTTTATATAACTTCTATGGGGTATGTCAAGCATTTCTAATTTGTGATTAATACAGCTATGAACATCCCTGTGTATTAGGTTTTTTTTTCTTTTACTTCCTTGAGTTATATTACTTACACTGGAGGACCTCAAACTTTATGTTCTCAGGAACCCTCTAGCACTCTCAAAAATTATTGAGGACCCCAGAGAGCTCTTATATGGGTTATATGTAGCAATATTTACTGCATTAGCAGTTACAAATGATATTTTCAAAATACACATTTATTCATTCATTTAAAAATAAGCCCATTATGTGTTAATATAAATAACAAATTCCTGTGAAAATATCTCTTCAAAACAAAAAATTTAGTGAGAAGAGTAACATTCTTTTACATTTTGCAAATCTCTTTAATGTCTGGCTTAATGGAAGACAACTAGATTCTCATTTCTGCTTCTGCATTCAGTCTGTAGGGGATATGTTGTTTTCATTGAAGCCTTTCACATATCAGTTGTTGGAAAAAAAGAGGACTAGTTTAATAACCTTTTCAAATAATTCTAGATATTCTTTACTGTTAAACCAACTTGACGAGTAGTAGTTTTTGTAAGGGTTAGTTGTAATGTGGAATCAATCCATACCAGTGAACTTGTTATATATCTGTTACATCAAAATCTGCTGGTCTATCATGCCATTTGAATGGACCTTTTACCCGTGTATAATACTATTGTAGAAGATCGTGTATTTTGGTCATTTGGAAAATACTGATTCACTGAGATATGCAGATCTGCTCAAAGTTGACACATCTTATTATACAATATCATTGCTAATTTTTGCTTGAAAACTTGAATTTTCTCATTGGCAGTAAATAGCATTCATTATTTTCCTTGAAGTAATGGGCTCACATCCTTTTCGAGAAAATGTCCGCTATGTAGCCAAGTTGAATAAGCATGGTTTGTCATTCTTTCAAGTAAAAACAAAAAACAAAAAACTGTTTTCTTTGAAAAAATGACTGCTTCAGCCAGCAGCTTGAACAACTGCACAAGTACTTTTCATCATGACAACATTGTGCCTCTGTGTGCAGTAGAAGTGCTTTATGCAAGGCCAGGTGTGGTGGCCCACACCTGTAATCCCAGCACTTCAGGAGACTGAGACAAGTGAATTGCTTGAGCCTAGAAGTTTGAGACCAGCCTGGGCAACATGGTGAAACTCTGTCTCTATAAATTAGCTGGATGTGGTGGCGTGACCCTGGAGTCCCAACTACTTGAGAGGCTGAGGTGGGAGGATTGCTTGAGCCCAGGAGGTGGAGGTTGTGGTGAGCCATGATCACACCACTGTACTCCAGCCTGGGCAACATGGTGAAACTCTGTCTCTATAAATTAGCTGGATGTGGTGGTGTGACCCTGGAGTCCCAACTACTTGAGAGGCTGAGGTGGGAGGATTGCTTGAGCCCAGGAGGTGGAGGTTGTGGTGAGCCATGATCACACTACTGTACTCCAGCCTGGGCAACAGAGCAAGACCCTGTCTCAAAAAAAAAAAAAAAAGTGCTTTATGCCCGTTTCCCACTTCACGCAGAATATTAAAAAGACATATTCAAAGATTGAAATTTTACAAAACTTGACAATCTATACCTCTTCATCAAGTACATTCTAAAGTGAAGCTGGATGTGGGTGAGTGAGTGGTAAGGGAGGGTGCAATAACGGCCAGGTTAGTGCTGCTGCTTTGAGTCATACTATGGCATCAGCAGTTCCACCCACTGTTGCTTTTGCACCGTCAGTGCAAATGTCAACACAGCAAAAAAAAAGCAAATAGCTTCTGAGATAGAATAGTTTTGACCTCATGGGACAGGAGTCCATGAGCCACATTAAAATTTTTTTTTTCTCGAAGTTTACTAGCCATTTGGATTTCATCTTTTGTGAAGAGGTAATCAAATCTCTTGTTCATTTTTCTATTGGCTTGTCTTTTTATGACTTGTTGGCATTGTTTATATAATATATTCTGAATTTAAGTCCTTCATTAAATATATGTATTACAAATGTCTTCCTCCCCTCTGTAGCTTGCCCTTTTACCCTATTAATGGTTTTTTTTAATTATTGTTAAAGCATTCCTAATTTTTATGTAATCTAGCTTATCAGTGCTTTTCCCTTTATGTTTGGTGCTCTTTTGATTTTTGTTTAAGAAGTCTTTGCCTTATGCCAAGGTCATGGAGAAATCCTCATATATTTTCTCCTAGAAGCTTTAATGGTTTACCTTTTATGTTTAGATCTATAATCCATCTAAAATATTTTTTATGTGTGGTGTGAGATTTATATTTTTCCACATTGATATCCAGTTGGTCTAGCACCATATTTTGAAAAGATTATCCTCTACCTATGTTACTTTAATAATTTAATTTTCATTTTTCATTACTTGTGCAACTATTCTCTATTCTTAAAATTTGTTTTCATTCCTTTCGCCTTGGAGTCACATAATATCCCTTTGGTTTTTTCCTGTGGATAGCAAAGTTCAATAACATTTATACAGCTACTGTTTATTCAGTGCCATTGATTCTAGACAAATGCTGGGCATTTAATCCATGTGCTCTTATTTAATCCCCTCAACAATTCCATGAGATTGGTAAGGGCTATCCCCATTTTGCAGGTAAGGAAGCTGAAGTTCATGTACAGTAAGTAACTTCACAACAGTAAGAAGCAAAAGTTGTGTTATAATAGTAAATTATTGAATTCTACTTATGGGACTCAGGCACTACACTTTTGTAAGCATTCTCATTTAATATGTATAACAACCCTGTGAAATAGATACTATTGTCTGTATTTTACACAAGAGAAAGCTAGAGCTTGGAGATTTTCTAACTTGCCCTGGGTCACACATCTGTGAAATGGTGAGGCCAGAATTTGGACTTGAGTCTTATGCCCAAATCAATCTAAGTGTCCATCATGTGCCACTTACTGGGAATATGTCATGAGGTGTGGACCCAGCCTTCAAGGAGCTCACAGTTGATAGGGGCTAATTGCCCTTTTCATTCCAGATCATAAATCTTTTTAAAACAATGGTAGAAGTATGTCTGAGATCTGCTGAAGCACATTAAAGAGTGATTAATCTGAAGGATAGAAGGAAAGTTTTCAGAGAGATGATGCCTGATGAGCTAAATTTTAAAGGACCAATAAAAGTTCTGTGGTATTGAGGGTAATTGACTTTTATGGCAGAGGGAACGATGGGTACCAGTGGGGCTATGAAATCATCTTGTAGAAGTGGGGGAGTTTTTGTTTCACTCATGTCAGCATGTGAAGGGAGAAAAGATGAACATGAGGGCCAAATCACAAGGCCAGTATGTGCTAAGAAGCTGGATTTGATCCATGGGGTGATGGGAGCCATCAATGTTTTGAAAAGTTACGTGGTTGGGACTCGGTTAACCACGGATTTTTTTTTTTCCTCTTGAAGAATCCCAGTCATATTCTGACAGTGGACGTGTTAACATGGTTAATATTTATTGAGCTTTTACTGTGGGCTGAGCAGTTACATTAAATGTAAAGTATATGTAAAACAATATCTTTTAAGCCTCATAAGAGAATGAGGTAGATGCTCTTGGTATCTCTGTTTTATGCAAAAGAAAACTGAGGCAGCAAGAGCTTGACTTGCCCAAAGCAACACATCTTATGAGCATTGGAGCAGGATTCAGCCCTTAGTATTTCCAACTTTTGACACATGTATTGGCAGTTGTTTCAGAAGAAATGAGTTTGGCTTGGATTGCTCCAAGAACAAAGAAATGAACTTGGCTTGGATTGCTCCAAATACTGGTTTGAACACAGTACAGCAGTGGAGCAGAAACAGAGGAGATGACACCATGGGGTAAGCACAGTCCGATGCATATAACCCATGGGGCCAAGATCAGGAGAATGGGAAGCCACTGGACAGGTTTTACAAGGGAGGGACTTCATATTGTTTACATTAAAAAACAAAATAACCCTCTGGCTCCTTTGTAGAGATGGATTATAGAGGGACAAGAGTAAAAACAGACCCAGAGAAGAAGCTGACACAGGCAGCCAGGCAAGAAATAATGGTGGTAGGTGGTAGACTATGGTGGTATATAAGGCAGGTGGCTCTGGGGTATATTTGGAAGTATACCTGACAGGACTTGCTGATGGGTTGGCTTAATGAAGGGAAGAAAACTCAAGGACAATGCAAGTTCTTTTTTTAGCCTGTCATTTCTGATTTGGGACTGCCATAACTAATGCTTCAGTAGACATACTTTTATGCAACTTGGAGCACGTCTCTGAATGTTTCCTTAGAATAGATTCCTATAGAATTACTACATTAAGGACCAAGCCTGTTTATAGAGATTTTGATACAGATTGCTCAGTTGCCCTTTTTCTAAACAGTTGTGTTAATTGACATTCTCACTATGTTTCAATGTCATTTCCCTATCCTTACCAATGCTGGAGTCAGTCTCATTATTCTTCTAAATTACTTAGAAAAACATTGTCTTCATAACATCTGTAAGCTAACTGAACTCAAAGTGTAAGGCCAGTAAAGTGAGGAAAGTGTTTGCAGCATATGTGTGCATCATAAATTGCCACAAATGAGTAGCTTAAAACTGCACCCACTTATTATCTCATAATTCTCTAGGTCAAGAGTATGGATTTGCTTGGCTCATTCAGGTCACTGGCAGAATTCAGTTCCTTGCGGTTATAAGACTAAGGTCCGTATCCCTCTCCCTCAGCTCCATAAGACCTTCTGCATTTCTTCTCATGTGTCTGCCACCTCTTCAAAGCCAGCAGTGCTGTGTTGAGTCTCTTCTTGGGCATTCTTCTTCCTCCACAATCCATGTTCTGTGCTTTTAAGGGTTCCCATGTATTAGATTAGCCCACCGAGATAATGTCCCCTTTTGAGGTCAACTGTGCCATACAACGAAACAATAATAGGATTGCTTTCTCATCACATTCATAGGTACTGGGGATTAGGAGTTGTGGAGTCTTGAGAGGGGATCGAATTCCATCTACCACAATCTGTTCTCTGACCTCTCAAATGTGAAATATATCTTTCTTCCCCTGAGGTTTCCAAGAGTCTTAACCCGTTACTACATCAACTCAGTCTAAAATCTTATCTAAGTCTCATTAGCTTGAAGGACCAAGATCTAATCATCTCAGTCAGGTGCAGTTGAGGCTCCTGAGCACAACTCCTTTCAATCAGTTGACCAAAGAAACAAGTTCTTTGTTCCCATCATATAGTAGTGGAGTGACAGAGGATAAGAAATCTGTGTTTTCTAACATAGAAAAAAAACATGTGCATGAAAGTTATTAAGTACAGTATTATTTGTAGTTACGCATGCATACCCCAGAAACATCAGTGCTTGCAATAGAAAATTAAGTAAATTTTTAAAATTTGCTTCACTTGAGTATGTATTACTTGGCCATTAAAAATGTTAATAGTAAAGACAACTTAGGAAATACAGCACCTATGTGGAGGAAAGCAATGAGATCCAAAATGATATAGTATTGTTACAGTCACATTAAAACATGCTTATGAAAGAAGACATGAAAATAATGCAAAAGTAATCATTGTGTTAGAGTCAGATTATGGGTGACATTTTTCTGTTCTGAATGCTTTACAATTTTTAGCATAATTTATGTATATTTTTTCTTTCTGTTTTTCTTTCTTCTAAAAATCTTTGATCACTTAGCTTAAATGTAGCATTTCCCAACCCTTCTCAGTCCCTGGTTCAGCTTTGATCTCACAGGATATCCTTCAGGGTAAGGAAATGGAAAGGTTTATTGCTCTGTTTGCTCAGGGCCCTGTGACCAGTGCTTCTCTTGCATATGTACACATATACTTCTTTGCAGTTATCAGCATCTTCATTTCCCCAATTCTAAGTTTCCACTCTTAGCTGGACAAAGTTAATAAACTCAGACACCAAAACTTCATGGCTGAATTTGTACTCTGACTGGGAAACAGTCTACCCCCAAATCAGCAGTGTCAGCTTACCTGGGAGCTTGTGAAAAATGCAGAATCTGAGGTCCCACTCCTAGTCTTCTGAATGAGAACCTGCATTTTAGCAGGATCCCCCACTGACTCATGTGCACCTGACAGTTTGAGCAGCACTTGCCTAGGTGGTTCAAATAATGCTGTGGAATTAGGGATTAGGGTCTGAAAATATTTAGGTTGTTGATACTAGTTGTGCCACGAAACCACAGCTGGCACTCCAGAAGCCTGGTGTGCAGACAGTGTTCACACCCAGTGATCAGCCACAGGTACAGATTAGCAGCTGGGAAGGCAGCCATGTTGGCATTCTGTACTGATAAAGAAGGTTCTGGTTCTAGAGTAAGCACATGCCATCCTGAGTTTCCTATTCAGTGCAGCCTTACAGAATGCATAGAGTAAAGCTATTTGAGAATATGAAAACTCCTCATTGAGAAAGCAGATTGGAGAATAGCAGAGTTTTAAGTACCGCTAAATGGTCAGTGAATTCACCGTTGTTCCCCTCTGATATCCTGCAGTCCAAATTCAGGGAAACCCAAAGTGAGGAAATGAACATTGGCGTGGACGGAGAGTGTTCCAGGAAAGGCCTGCACTTCTGGCTAAAGGAGCAGGGAAAGGCACTACAAATGCTCAGAGAGAGTGGGAAAAATCTCCTGTGTTTCTTTTTCCTTTTCTCCATTCATTTACATCCCAGCCTGCAGCAGTCTGCAGACACCTAAAACTGAGGAAGAACCTTCCTTTCCAACAAGAGGACCTGTGGTCTCAAGAGTATGAGACAAACCACTGTTGCTTTTTTCTTCCCTTTGTCCTCCCTCCACTTGATGTTGGACACAGGCACCGTTGTAGGAACTACATGGCAGAGCAGGTAAAGCCCCAGCTTTCTGCTCAGAGGACCCAAAAAGGAGCCTTCCAAGGAAATGGAAAGTACTGCGTGGACCACAGAGCGGGAGGAGCTCAGAAAGCACCCCATAAAGTTGTTATGGCCTTACCTGCAGCTGTACATAAGTGAACCTGATTCTAAATAGCATATCAAAGACTTTAGAATATAAGTACAGGAGAACTGGCTCTTCAGGTCCCAGACTGACAACTGGATAGCACATGCATGGTGGAGACCTTAGTAGCATTGTAAAGCCTATACAAACAGAACTGACATTGAAAGCAAAACTTGGAGCCCAAACTTAACTAGGTTGATTGCCTGCTAAAACAAAAATATCAAGATTCTTCCAAAATGTTCAAAGTATCTGGAATAAAGTCCAAAATTACTGGGCATAAAAGAACCAAGAAAATTTCAACTCTGAAAAAGACAACCGATGTCAGTATTAAGATGACACAGATGTTGGAATTATTTGACAGGCTTTAAAGTGGCTATTATGAAAATGCTCCAGCAAGTGAGGGCAAACAGTCTTGAAATGAATGGAATGATAGACAGGTCAGCAAATAAACAGAAGACCTTAAGAAGAACCAAATGGAGATTTTAGCACTGAAAAATACTGTAAGAAAATTTAAATCTCACTGCATAAATCAGTAATAGAATGGATTTGACTAAGGAGTCAGTGAACTTGAAGATAGGTAATACAAATTATCCTATCTGAACAACAGAGAGAAAAAAAGATTTTAAAATAATGTCTGAGGGACCTGTGGGGCAATTATAAAAGGTCTAACATTGGGGCCACTGGAAGAGAAGGAGAAGAGGAGGAGAAAGTGCAGTACAGAAGTCTTTAAAGAAAGTAATGGCTGAAAACTTCTCAGATTTGGCAACAGGCATAAACCTACAGATTCAAAAAGCTCAGCAGACCCTAAATAGGATAAACCTAAAGAATTCCATGCCCAAACCTATAATCAAACTGCTGAAAAGATTAAAAAAGAAGTCTCGAAAGCAGTTGGAAAAAAACAACTCATTGCTTAAAAAGAAACAAGAATTTGAATGGTTACGAATTTCTCATCAGAAATCTTGGAGGCCAGAAAGAAGAACAGCATTCTTAAAGTATGGAGAGAAAAAGAATTGTCAACCCAGAATTCTATATCCAGTGAATATTTCACCTTCATTTCTAAAGGATATTAAGATATTATTAAGAATATCTTAACAAAGAAACTAAGAGAATTCATAGTCAATAGATCTTCTCAAAAGGAGTTTTAAAAGGAAGTTCCTCAGACAGAATGGAGATGATACCAGATGGAAACTTCAAACATCAGGTATAAAAGAAGAGTGGTAGAAATGGTAAATATGTGGGTAAATATAATGGACAGTTCTCTAAAATAGGTTTCATAGTTTTATTAGTGTTCTCTTAGAGGGACAGAACTAATAGGCTATATCTACATACATATGTATTGGGGAGTTTATTAAGTATTAACTTATACGATCACAAGGTCCCACAATAGGCTGTCGGCAAGCTAAGGAGCAAGGAGAGCCGGTCTGAGTCCCAAAACTGAAGAACTTGGAGTCCGATGTTCAAGGACAGGAAGCATGCAACACAGGAGAAAGATGTAGGCTGGGAAGCTAGGCCAGTCATGTCCTTTTCATGTTTTTCTGCCTGCTTTATATTCTCTGGCAGCTAATTAGATTGTGCCCACGAGATTAAGGGTGGATATGCCTTCTCCAGCCCACTGACTCAAATGTTCATCTCTTGGCAACACCCTCACAGACACACCCAGGATCAATATTTTGTATCCTTCAATCCAATCAAGTTGGCACTCAGTATTAACCATCACATGTCTACCCCTTGTCAACTTGAACTGATACACATCTCCTGAGATCATACATAATCTTCAAATAAAGCCAAAATAAGGTCATAATTACGCCTAACATAATACAACTATCCTTCGTACAACTAGAAACTCACCAATCCCCAACCCAAATACTATTACATAAAGTTAACAATACTTAAATGCTGATACAAAGTCAGTAAACCTTATGTCACATGATAAAGGAGAAAGGAAATAAAATGAAGATGCTTTCTTAATTAAGTGTATGCATGCACAAACATGTTTTTAACAAAAGGAGGAAATACTCATGACAATTACAGTCCTCGTTTCTGCAGCTGGTCACGTGGTCGTAGCTGGTATTGATGATTGCCTTCTACTACTACCCATTCTGTATTCCCTTTGCCTTCAGTAAGCACCTCAGCAGGTCGTTTTTTTTTTTTCCTGGTGGAGTGACCCAAAAAGGGTCACTTCATTCCTGAAGGGTCTGGATCATTTGTAGTCCTGCCTGGATTGGGCTGTTGTAGTTTCTCATTGATCTTAATCACAGGGCATGGTAATACTAAGAGATGCCTTAATGGATCTCCTGTATTCCATGCATACTCTTCCTTACCTCCGTTCTAGAGTAGTAGACTGATTTCATCTTGATAGTCTGGGTCAGTCACCCCAGCCAACATTGTAACTCCCTTCTCAGCCTGTTGACTTAAAGGTAGAGGAGCCCAAAGTATCAAGTGGCAATCTTAACTTCCAGTTTAATGGAATTATTGTGTCTCCTGGTGGCAGCGTTCCTCCCTCTGGAACTAAGACCTCTAGGCCAGCAGAACGCAATGTCATGGGAATAGGAAGCAAAAATTTTGCTAGTGGATGTCAATCTTTTAAAAACTAAATTAAAAAAAAACTAAACAAATTGTAGCACAGCATCTGACACAAAGCAAACTCTCAGTAAATCGCAGCAGCTGCTGTTATTACATTCTTCCAGGTCTTTCCTTTAACAAATCTGTTCACCTGCAATGCTACATTTTATCATTATGGCAGGCCCTGTGGGTGTTACTACTTAGATTTTACATCTTAAAGACTGAAGTGCAGAAGTTTCATGGCAGACCCCTGCCAACCAGCTGGAAAATTCCCAACCCAATGTCCAGAGCGCATCTCTGACTCCCAGTCCTGAGGCCTTTCCAGTTCACCAGACCACCTCAGCCATTAGAAGGGTGTCAGCTGGATTTGTGTGCCCAACGAGGTGTGTTGCTTTTATGTAAAAGAGAAGCACATAAGGAAGAAATCATGAGTGTTCAGGATCCCTTTCCAGTCCCTTAAAGAGGCTGCTTTTGCAGTAGCGACATACTACCCAGTGAGCTCAGCCATGCAGTTTTTCCTGCAGGGTTAGAGTGGATCACTTCCTTCAGTTGATCACCATTTGAAGTAGCAGGGGTTTGAGTTCAGAGGCCATGTACGAAAATGATTTTAAAAATACCTGGAGCCTCATTTAGCACATGCAAGACTGAGACTCAGCCAAGGGGGCTATCTAGAGAAGGACGGAACCCCCTCCCTCTGTACTATTTACTCTGAGTTCATAAAAAAATTAGCCAGGCGTGGTGGCGCATGCCTGTAATCCTAGCTACTTAGGAGGCTGAGGCAGGAGAATTGCTTGAACCTGGGAGGCAGAGGTTGCAGTGAGCTGAGATTGTGCCACTGTACTCCAGCCTGGGCAACAGAGTGAGACTCCGTCTCACAAAAAAAAAAAAAAGAAGAAGTAAATGGGTTCTAAGTGTGTAAATAATGAGGTCACAGAAGTCTTCATGTGTTGCAGTGAGTCTTTGTTGAATATGAGCCAACTGAATATGTTGTTACAGTTTCTAGTACCTTTTTAAAAATTTTTTATATTTTTCCTTAATAATAGAGATGGGGGTCTCATTATGTTGCCCAGGGTAGTCTCGAACTCCTGGACTCAAGCAATCCTCCCACCTCGACCTCCCAAAGTGCTTGGATTACAGGCATGAACTACTGCACTTGGCCTTTAGAGACATGGTTTTGCTATGCTGGCCAGGCTGGTCTCGAACTCCTGGCCTCAAGTGATTTGCCCACCTCAGGCCTCCCAAAGTGCTGCGATTACAGGCATGAGCCACCGTGCCTGGCCTGCAACTGCCTTTCTAGCCTTTCTTGTTCTCTTGTTTCTTCTCTCTTCCCCACATTTCGTGGGCCAGAGAGAAAAATAGAGATGGTTGCATATTTCAGAGCAATCTTTATTCCCAAGCATTTTATCAGCCACTAGAAGCCCCCTATGTTTGCCACTCTGGGCGGGGGGGCACTTCATGGAGTCAGGTAAGATGCTTACTGCCCTCTGGCACCACCTGGTCTGCCTCTAGTTAGGCAGGATGTTGGAGGCTGCTAGAAACTTTGACTGCTAGCTCCATGAACTGTGGCTTGGGAGCAGTAACCTAGGTCAGGAAAAATTCCTTCCCTAGGAAACCTGGCCTTGTCCATTTAAATCACAGTATCCTGCGATTCCAGCCCATCAGGTGGAACTGACTGGAGGAGCACCTACTTTTGGATTTTTTCCCGGTTCTCTAATTAATGGCTTCTTACCTGTAAGCTTAGATTAGCTGCTGTTTATAAGGCTTTCCCAAGGTCTGGCAGGAACGTGCCAGTGCCCCAGAACTATCAGGTTTGTATTGCTTGCCAGGGCTCTGCGAAGATTCCAAAGCACATCTTTCAAAATACTAAATATTTGTGTTGTATTATATCCATATCCCTATGCATTACGGAAAAAACAGGAAAGTATAAAGAAAGCCCTCACCACCCAGGAGTGACTGTCACTGTTTACGCTCTCGGTACGCTTCTTTCTGGTTGTAATTATACATACCACCACCACTACCCTGCATACACACGTTTTTCACCGTTGATTTCCCTAGGCTATTGATGACCCCCTTTCCCCTCAGTACTTAACACTAGAGCATGAGCATTTCTCCACATCATTTTTAAAACATTCCCAGAACATGGTTTTTATTGCTTCCATGGCTGCACTTGGGGACCTGCCATGATGTTCCTAACTGGTCTTCATTCAGGCTGACTGCAGTTTCCTTGATTAATGTCTTTGTGAGTATATTTTAATTTAAATTCTTTATTTAAAATGAATACCTAGACATAAAATTATCAGATCAAAGAATAGAGAGATATATAAGAGGGTCTCACTCACTACTGCTGGCCTGTGCTCCATGTCTTCCCACCGCTCTGCCGCCCAGCTCCTCCACCGATCACAATGGAAGAAGAGATCACCATACTCGTCATTGACAATGGCTCCAGCATGTGCAAAGCTGGTTTTGCTGGGGACGACGCCCCTGGAACCATGTTTCCCTCCACTGTCAGGTGCCCCCAACACCAGGGCATGATGGTGGGGATGGGCCAGAAGGTCTTCTACCTGGGCGACAAGGCCCAGAGCAAGCACGGCATCCTGACGATGAAGTACCCCATCGAGCACAGGATTTTCACCAGCTGGGAAGGCATGGAGAAGATCTGGCACCACACCCTACAACAAGCTGCATGTGTTCCTGGAGGAGCACCTGGTGCTGCTGACTGAGGGCCCCCTGAACCCCAAGGCCAACAGAAAGAAGATGGCTCAGATCATGTTTGAGACCTTCAATACCCTGGACATGTACGTGGCAGTCCAGGCCATACTTCTATGCCTCTGGGCGCACCACTGGCATTGTCATGGATTCTGGAGACGGAGTCACACACACGGTGCCCATCTACAAGGGCTATGCCCTCCCCACGCCATCCTGCGTCTGGACCTGGCTGGCCAGGACCTGACCACCTCATGAAGATTCTCACAGAGTACGACTACAGCTTCCCTACCACAGCCAAGCGGGAGATCATGCGTGACATCAAGGAGAAGCAGTGCTGCGTCGCCCCGGACTTTGAGCAGGAGATGGCCACCGCTATGTCATCCTTCTCCCTGGAGAAAAGCTACAAACTGCCTGACAGCCAGGTGATCACCATTGGCAACATGCAGTTCCAGTGTTTGGAGGTGTTGTTCCAGCCCTTCTTTCTGGGTGTGGAATTTTGCAGCATCCATGAGACCACCTTCAGCTCTATCATAAGGTGTGATGTGGGCATCCACAAGGACCTGTATGCCAACACGGTGCTGGCCAGTGGCACCACCATGTACCCAAGCATCTCCAACAGGATGCAGAAAGAGATCACTGCCCTGGTGCCAGCACAAGGAAGATCAAGATCATCGTGCTCCCAGAGCGCAAGTACTCCGTGTGGATCAGCAGCTCCATCCTGGCCTCATTGTCCACCTTCCAGCAGATGTGGATTAGCAAGCAGGAGTATGACAAGTCGGGCCCCTCCATGTCCACCACAAATGCTTCTAAATGGACTACAAGCAGATGTGTAGCATTTGCTGCATAGGATAATTCACACGTATAAATTTGCCCCTGACAAATGTATACACCTCATGCCAGCCTCACAAAACTGGAATAAGCTTTTGGAAAGAAATTTGTCCTTGAAGCTTGTGTCTGATATCAGCAGTGGATTGTAGAACTTGTTGCTGATTTTGACCTTGTATTCAAGTTAACTGTTCTCTTGGTATTTGTTTAATACTCTACATATCTTTGATTTCAGCCCTTAAGTGCATGTGGTTTGGTCACTTCATGGCTGAGGTGAAGAACATGCTTGTGGAAGACAAGTCTATGGCTTGGGGGGTCTGTGTGGCTGGCAGTCTCCCACTGGTGCAGGGTATTCATGTGTCAGGGCTGAGTATTCTGGGATTTCTCTAGAGGCTGGCAAGGGCTCCTGAACCAGTTGTCATTTCTGTCTTGCCTGTAGGACCCAGTTTCCTTTCTTAGCTGATGTTTTCCTGCCAGAACACCATGGGCTGTTACTTGTCTTGAGTTGGAAGCGGTTTGCATTTACACCTGTAAATTTATTCATCCTTTTCATTTATGTAAGGTTTTTTTGGTATGCAATTCTTGAGTCTTTAAGAGATGACAACAAATTTTGTTTTTTTTCACTGTTATGTGAGAGCATTAGGCCTAGCAGCACATCATTGTGTAAGAAAAAATAAAAGTGCTGCCATTTAAAAAAAAGACATATAAGACTTTTGAAGGACTGTGTATTTTTGTGTCTGTCTATATCTATATATATTACAGAGATAATATAGAATTACTCTCCAGAAAGCATGCAGTCATTTATGTGCCTTCTAGCTCATGCATTCTCCATGAAGGCAGAAATCGGCTATTAGGGTTGGGGGCAGTCCTAGAGATTACAGTGGTTTGTGGCCCTCCTGCAGGTACAGTGCATAAACAGATACACAGTACATCTGTAGTACTAAAATTTTATACAGGGGCTATATTGACAAAAAGGTTGAGAAGTACTGTTCTAGCTGTATGTGACTCCATACATCTGTCTCCACCTTGGAAGCTTTCAAATCTTAGCTTTGGGATTTTGGTTTTGGGTTTAAGAATAATATTTTTCTGACGTAAAACTTCTTGGTTCATTATACAAAGTTGAAGAAACTGAGAAAGTTGTGAATAAAATTTATCTGGAGGTTACCAATATTAATATTTTAAAATATTAATACTTAATATTTTAATCTATGTTTTTAGGTTTGTGTTCCGCCCTTCTTACATAATTGTCATTGTAGGATTATCATTGTTCATCTGAGCCAAGGACCACCCTGAAATATCCCTTGTGCTATGGTCTCATGCAAGGGTTTCCCATGCCTGTGAGTGTGTTTGTGATCCCACATGTATCAGGTGCCTGGCTGCTCTGGGACTTGCAGTAATTGTCTCTTGTTTGTTTCAGGTGTGATCCCCTGGGCCCGTTTGTTGTCGGGGGAGAAGACTTAGACCCTTTTGGGTGAGTACTGCTGGGGAGGTGGCAGCAACACAACTTGCTTTTGTGGCTTTTCAGCCCCAGCTCATCTTCTAATTTTAGAGTTTTCGGTCAGTCTCTTCCTTTGGGGTGGAGGAGGCAGTTGTTGCTGAGCAGCTGAGAAAGCACTGCCACATACGCTGCCCCTCCACACCTAGAGCGGTGCAGGAGAGCACTGAGTGTTGGCAGGGAGGTGAACAAGCCTAGCAGGCAGCTCTTCTGCCATTTCCCGGTCCCCCTGCCCACCCTAGTTTATCAGATGTATAGTGAGGAGCACATGGTGGGCCTTAGGGCAGCTCAGGGCTATTCAGAGGTTGCCCCACTTAATAAAGGGAGTCTCTGAGCCCCATTAGACTCTGGATGGTTCTTATGCATCCAACAAAGTTACTACAGCCTCTGCTATCCACTGTCTTCCCTGAATGATTCCAAATAGATTTTAACCTCTGCTACAAAGTGACCCCGACTTCAGCATCTCATTTGTAGACAGTGGGGATATCACTTAAGTCTGCAGTGCAGCTTAAGCAGTGACCTCAAAATTTGGGGAACCATCAGCTCATTCATCCTAGTTTGAGCACATGAGGTCAGGTCAGTGGAACTCCATGAGGGACAGATGCTGTCAGGAGCCACACTTAGGCAATCTACAGGCAGTCAGAAATTGCCCTGAGGCCCTTAAGGGAAAGAGAAAAAAAACCAACATCACGAATTACCTCAATGCTATAATTAGTCCTTAAACCTAAAGTAGCACCCTGCAGAACCTTGTGAGTGCATTGTAGTTGACCTTGGCAAGTTCTGGCTCTTGGTCTTGATCAAGTTGGCCCTCTTGAGTATATGATATGGCAGGGATCTCAATTTTGAGGAGCCCTACAGAACCAAAAGCACTGTGCAGAACCAACCCCTGCAGAGCCAGAAGTACTCAGCTGTGAGGTATGCTCTTCGTATAGGCTTTGTGTTCTTGCCCTTGCCCACTTTCCGCTGGCTCTCAGGCAGCCATCCACATGTCTGCTTGGGCCATCCAGAGTAGACATCCCAGCCATTCTTGGTGCATTGTAACCTCCCTCGCCTTTTCTCCAAGGGCAGTCCTTGCCACACCTGCTTACCTAACTTTTCTTCTTGCCTCAGGCCTCGGAGAGGTGGCATGATTGTGGATCCCCTGAGATCTGGCTTCCCAAGAGCACTTATTGACCCTTCCTCAGGCCTCCCGAACCGACTTCCTCCAGGCGCTGTGCCCCCAGGAGCTCGCTTTGACCCCTTTGGACCCATTGGGACCAGCCCACCCGGGTACGTAGTCACTCAGGTATGCTGAGAAGTAGGACCTGATGGCAGCTTGGTTCAGTGTGGCAGCAATGAAGGTTTCTAGCCCCAGGCACAGAGCTGCCGCTGCCTTCACCTGTTGCTGCCAGGAGAGTGGAGCCTCCTCCAGGGCCCTGCCTGATTTCTCCCTGGAGCCTTCTAGGAGCTTCCTATCCCTCAGTGCCTCTCTTTCCCCAGCTCCACTCTGGGGAGGACTCAAAGTAGGAGGAACTAACAATTCTTGAAAGTTAAGTATGTGGCAGAAACTCAGTGGATCCTTTCTTCAGCAGTCTTGGGTAGATGGTGGCGTCTACATTTTATAGATGCAGAAAATGAGGCCCTGAAAGATTAGGTAACTTATACCAAGCGGGGGAGTCAGGATTCAAACCCCGGTTGTCTGGCTCTTGAGTGCATGTGTTTAAATTCCTCACACCGCCACATCATGTTGAAGGGCAGGCTCCCTCAGTGCAGGGTCATGTCTGCCCATGTTCCCCTGGTCTCTCCATCACTCCAACTCATCAGCCCCTCTTTCCATTCCAGACCTAACCCAGACCATCTCCCCCCGCCGGGCTACGATGACATGTACCTGTGAAGGCCTCAAGAATGTAACATCCCAGGCTTCCCTCCATTCTCCTGGAGCTGCCACCGCTGTCCCCATCAGCAACCATGTTCTTGCAGGCTGGGGGCAAGGGATTCTGCTCATGTGTTTGCAGACCGGCTGGGATAGCCTCCCCACCCCTTATCAGAGCCAAGACACCTGCTGCAGCTCTCCACCTAGCTGCAGATAGCTCCCAAAGAGAAATCAGTGTGTCTCTTTCACCATCAGCTCCTCCCCTTTCACCACCAGCTCCTCTCCACTTCCCAAGGGAGACTCCGGCAACCTTCAGCAACATATATCCTCGACCAGATGCAGTGCTATAAGAACAGAACGCATTTTGGATGTTATTATTAAGAACCAAATGTCAATACAGAATTCATGTTGCCGGTTTCCCACTTTTCTTTTTACATTAATGCATAGCTGCTTCCATTTATGAGACTTTAGAGTTTGAGTTTCTGTAGGGCTGAATGACTCTTTTTCCTGCCCAGGGCCCATTCTTGCTTCTCAGGCACCTTCCGTTTATTAATTGCCATTGCTCCTGACATCACTAAGATGGGTCCCCTTCTGGCTGCATGAATGGAAATGAGTGACTGGAAATCCCATAGGCCACAAGAATGACTTTCACAAGGGCAGGAACATTGTGGAAAGACTGCATCATTCTGATGAGGCAAAATCCTCCAGCTATTCCTGTCTGGGCCAGTTTTGTAGGTCCATCTGTGCATGGGCAGCAGTAGTCAAAAAGCCAAGGAAAAAACAGAGCAGACCTGAAGGCTAATCTTATTTTTGCCACTAACTTAGTGAATGACCCTAAGCAAGTTCCTTCTCCTCTTAGGGCCTTGTGCCAAGCCTATGAAATTGGAGGTGGCTTTCCTGCTCTAAAGCATTTTGATGTCTCATTCTGTGTTTGGTAACCCCTATAAACTGGGGCAGAGGAAAAGAATGATGGTTCAAGGCCATACTTCCCTTGAACCTTGTGTGGTTCTTGCCTAACTCTGTGGTTTTTGGACCCCATGGGGCCCAGACAGAGCACAGGAGCATGGGCTGCCTCTGAGTGTGGTGTTGAACTTCGGGAGGAGCAGGGAGCCCTGCACCTTGTGTCCTGGCCCACCTGACCTTTGGTGTTCTCCGGATCCTTTTCAGCCCGAGGCCTGACAGACGCGGGCAGTGATGAGCCCTGTTCTGGAGTGGAAAGAGCACGATAGAGCACCAGGCTAAGAGGCACGAGATCAAGGCGGTAGTCACTTCCGCTCTGCAGCTAGCATTTCAACCATATGTGGATCCTTTCATTTCTCAGCTCCCTGGATTCCTTCCCCTAAATTAGGACCTATTATTTACCTGTAGGTAAGCAAGCTACTGTAGCTCTTCTGAGGTATCTGCCAGGCTGTTTTCTGTAGCCTCAGATTGCCTATCTGCTTAGCCTGAGAACAGGTAGATGAAAACTAAACTGATGCCTAGGCCCAGGGTCAGTCTCAGATGGAAGCTGGGCCTGGGTGGGGAGGCTAGCATGCGTGGCTCCCTGGGTATTTCTGTCAGTCCCCATGGCAAGCAGTGATTTAGTAAAACACCCCAGAGTCAGGGAAGCCAACCACCTTGAAACCTTTAGAACATCTCTGCTTTGGAGAAAGACCCAGAGATCAGGCAGAGGTGCAGATTCAATCATTACTCATAACCTTTGAGAGATGGCAAATGGGAGGAGTGTTAGTCTTTGTTTTGGAATTGGACCATTCTTGCAACCAAAAGGACTTAGAGCAGTTTGCTCATAAAGACATCCTTTATTATAAAAGGAAGTATTTAAAGGATGATAGAGACCATCAGATAGAAGCAGGGAAGGTAGATAACTTTTAGGACCTTGATGTGAGGAAAAGATAAAATTTAAACAATAAATTTGCCACTTAGATTTTCTAGCAGCAAAGTCCGAAAAGATAGTTATATACAAAATTCTGTTTTCTGAAAACAAAATTGTGATTCACCTTCAGAATTGGCCATTTTTTTTGTGAGTTTCCTTGCATCAAGGACACTGAGAAACACAGTCATTGTCTTAGGTGTTCTATGGGAGGAAGTGAATAGAGCCTTTAGGAACTTCCTGGTCAAGCTTATGGTGCTTATTTTGATCTGGGCCACTTCCCTCCTTCCAGTCATGAGTAATCATCAAGGAGCAAGTTGGAGTGTTTCAGGTGTATATTTTGTAGAACCCAAAAGATTGGAGCCTTAACAATAAACATCAGCACTAAGTGACCTGTTCCTCCTTTTTTAAATAGCAGCTTTATTGAGATATAATTTACATACCCATAATTTACATACCTGTTTAAAGTATACAATTCAGTGGATTTAGTATGTTCACAGTGTTGCACATCCACCACCATTTCTAATTCCTGAACATTTTCACCACCTCAAAAAGAAACCACACACCCATTGGCATGACTCCCCATTCCCTTGCTCCCAGCCCCAGGCAACCACTAACATCTGTCTCTAAAGATTTTTTTTTTTTTTCTGGACAGTTCTCATAAGTGGAATCACTCAGTATTATGGCCTTTTGTGTCTGGCTTCTTTCATTTCATGTGATGTTTTCAAGATTCATTCATGCTGTAGCATGTATCCATGGTATGGATATATCACATTTTGCTTATCCTTTTATCAGTTGATGGACAGTTGGGTTGTTTCTACAAAAAGGCTATTATGAGTAATGCAGCCAAGAACATTTGTGTACCAGTTTTTGAGTTTTCAGTTGTTTGAGTTTCAGATGTTTTCAGTTCATTTGGGTATATACCAAGGAGTGGAATTGCTGGTTCACATGGTAGCTCTATATTCTACTTTGTGAGGAATTGTCAGACTGTTTTCCACGGAAGCTGCACCATTTTACATTTCCACTGGTAATTTATGAGGGTTCCAGTTTCCCCACATCTTCACCAACTCTTGTTATTTTTCATGCTTATGGCCATCCTAGTTAGCGTGAAGTAGCATCTCATTGTGGTCTTCTCTTCCATTTTTTAAAAAAGAATTTTGACCTACACCAAGCAAGGCAGAGACCAGAGTCAGTCCCCCTTGGGGAGCAATCTGTGGTTTTGATAATCACCACCTTGGGATGAACATGGCTGGTGAGCTGCAGAGCAGTTGATTTGACTTTTGGGGATGGTTCTAGGCTGGATGTGATACAGGGCAGGTTTTGTCTCTAGAGAAAGTTCTCATGACCTTCAGGTCTAATGAGATTCAGATCATCACTTTGGTTTGGTTTGAAATTTCTTTGTTTATCCAGTGAATTACAAGTAGAATAAAGATCTGGTTCTAAATTGTCTTTTGGTGGTGAAGTGCCATAGACCATTTCGGACCATTTCTATGATGTACCAGCAGCCCCCACATCACACCTCCTCTTCCTTGGCTTGTCTCTTCCCCAATTCTTAGAGTTAGCAGTGTTTCTTACTGCATTCATCTCCTCAGTCATAAGTGTCTGTCAACCTCCGTTGTGAAGTCATGAGTCTCTTGAGACTGAAACTCCAAGAATGTATTGTGCTCACAGTGGCGATGGTGTTCCTGTGCTGGATGGTCAGTGGTTGTTGACATGTAGTTAGAAAATAGGTAGCAAGTTCCACGCAGCCTCACTCTTTGGAACCTAGTTTCTCCTATGGCCTCCCTTTCTACTGTTGTTAATAACATTCTATTAATGATCCATGCCTCTCTTCACAGGAGGAATATTAGAATCTATGGAGCAGTTAGTATTCTTTGTCACCTAAATTTGTCTACTTCTGTACATTTCCAATAAGGCACCACCAGGGCAAGGGAAGATTCCCCACATGTATATCCCCAGCTGTTTCTGTCATAAAACTTGCATGTGTATAAACCACTATTGACTTTTTGCACCAAAGGAGATATTCAAGGACAGACATCCAAGTCCCCAGCCCTTTATTGCCCTTGGGATACCACAAGGCACAGATACAGGCAGCTGCTGTGTGGCTCTGGAGTTCCTAATCCCCAGATTGTAGCAATGATGATGTGATCCTGCTGCTCTCTGGACCGTAACCTTTTTGGTTACAAAAGGTAAATTTCTGTTTACTGCATCTGAACCCCAGGACTAATGCGTCACTGCATTAACCCCAGGACACATGGACCAAGTCACTGCGGCCGTACTTGGCCCTGAATCTGTCCTGGAGGGTGGGTCAAAAGGCAAGGGTGGCAGGTAGGATGGTAGGCAGTGAGGGGTGGCAAGGCCTAGCTGACTGAGGACAGACCCAGCAACAATGACAGGAGGTTTGAACACCTCACGAGTGGTAGTGCCCATGGGAGGTGCGAAGTGGAAGGCCCAGCCCTTGCTTGGAGGAACGTGAGGCTGATGGTGCAGTGCAATAGAGGTCACTGGATGCCCATTTGAACAGCTGCGTTCCAGATGAGCCACCTAAGGTGGATGTTGTGAGAGTCACAGTGGGTTTAGAGGGACAAGGTAGTGAGAGGATGCTGCTGACGCATTAGTCCTGGGATTCAGCTGCAGTAAACAGAAATTTACCTTTTGTAACCAAAAAGGTAATGGTCCAGAGAGCAGCAGGATCACATCATCATTGCTACAATCTGGGGATTAGGAACTCCAGAGCCACACAGCAGCTGCCTATATCTGCACCAAAAAGTAGATGTCCTTCACACTGCCATCTGGACACCACTCAGCTAGCTCATCCAAGTTCAAGGCTCAATTGAATGCGTCTGGTTGTTGGAACCTACATGGCCTCTCAAATGGTACTGGCATGGAATATTGGGGAGATGTCTTTATTCCCTCTTCCCACCTTTCCTGGAAGGTGCACTGGGACAGAGGTCTAGTGAGCCAATCTTCTGTGTTGTCTACGCCATGGACCATGATATAAATGGGTACCACAGCCTTGCATGCCTGAGCCTAACCATCTCCTGAGATGCTTGCTCTAAGTACACATTAGTACATGCTGGGCCCCAATCTAGATCTCAAGGGAACGGCCTTCAGATCCATTTTTGACAAGTTCCTTTTGTGAGTCCTATGATCATGCAAGTTTGAGAACTGAGAAGGGAGGGGAAGACCTACCTCCTTGTTACTCAGACCACCAGCAACAGCAGCATCACCTGGGAACCTGTTACACATGCAGAATCTCAAGCCCCACCCCAGACATTGAATGAGAATCTGCATTTTAACAAGTTCTCCATGAGATTTGTGTAAACTTAAAGTGAGAGAAGCTCACATGGACTATGTCTTTTTCCTTTACGTGAATATCGAGTACAAAGAATTGAGCCAGTCAGTCCTCTTGGTTAATGGCACATTATGATTAATGCATGCATGAACTCTGATTCGAAGTTTTCGTTGATTTTACCCCCAGTATCCACTCCATTCCTTTGCCCCCATGGGTCACTTAGATGTGTTTCATGTTATCTTTAAAAATGCAGCACCTTTATAGCATACATTATATCTTCAAACCATAACCATAATGAGGTGTTATCCCCATTTCCTGTACCAGAAAAGGAAGGATTGGGAAGGTCCAGTAATTTGCTCAGGGTCAAGCAGGAGTCTCAGACTCAGTCAAGCGTGGTTACTCACAGCCCTCCCTTTCTCAGTGTGTGGCCTTCCTCATCCACAAAATGAGCATCACCCCTACCTGCAGGATTCTTGCAAGATCCAACCAAATAATGTGTCTTATTAACAGAGAGTTGGGGCTCGGTGGGTGCTTGCTGCAATTGTTACTAAAGTCATATGGGTAGATAAGGGTGGGACTCAAGGACAAGAGAGGAACCTTGGAATATCCCCCAGTGCAGGAAACAAGCATTTATCAGGTGCACACAGCGTGCTAGGCTTCTCCTCATCGCATGTAGTACCCCTGACAACCCCAAGGTAAACACAGCTAGTGGCATTAGTTGAGATGCTGCACCTACCCCCTGGGGTGGCAGAACCGTGATTGGAACCCAGGTCAGTGCTCTTTTCAGTAGAACTGCTGTACCCAGACCTCACATCCTCTCTAGGTGAGGTGCATGGGTCCCTGGGCAAAACCCATTCCAGAAGCTGGGAAACCACGTCAGGACTTGTGTGAGAAAGGAGTGATGCTTCATAATCCCCAGGATGGTCTTAAGGCTCCTCAGTCAGTCCTATTTGCACAGCGTGCCTCATGCTCCTGAGTACCTCCACCTGCAGCCACAGTGCCCAGAGCACCTGGTTAGGAGGAGCATCTGAAACCACCTGCACAACCTCCATTCCACAGAGGAAGAAACAGGCTCAAGAAACCCATATGTGATGGGGAGCTCCTAACAGGCTTCCCTGGGCCACAGGAATGGGCTCGGGCTCTCTGCTGGGCTCTGTCACCTGGCTCCATGTGCTGCTCACCTCGGCCTTCTGAGTTTAGTAGGATGGCAGCTAGTCTTCCCTATTGACAGGTGAAAAAGCAGGTCCACAGCTGTTGAGTGACTTTCCCAAGGCCACACAGACCACAAATCCTGGCTCCAAGTCCAGGGCGTTTCCAGTAAGCACTGTCCAAATCAGTCATGGAGGTCCCTGAGTGACAAAAATATGCAGGACCCCTTCTTTCCCCCTCCCAGTTCCCGCAGCTAGGCTGAGTGTTAAGAGGAAGGTGCCATACAGGTTCAGCACCCTGGTCAGCGCCCAGCCTCCCTAAAGCCGCTGGAGGAGGCCTTTGGAGCCAGCTCAGGTCAGTGTCTGCTGCTTCCTTACCCAGGATGGCCCACTCTTGGGGACAGACAGGCATCCTGAGAGGAGGGGGCCTGGACCTAGGTGTCTTGCCACCCAATACAGAGCCCTGCCCTCTCCCTCTCCTTCAGAAGGAAGTATGGGAGCAGTTCCATCCTCAAGGTTTCTTGGTTCCCAGGACAGAAATTTGAGTGAGAAGCATGTGAAGAGAGGGATGGCCCAGGGGCCCTTGGCCATGGTGGCCTTGGACAAGTTTGGCTTTCCCCATCTGTAAAATGTAGATAAGGATGGACCCACCTCCCCAAGATCCTGCCTATCTGTGAGAGTCCATGACTAAGTGGGCCATGGGCTGGACTGAGTTCAGTGCTCCCCCAACCTGCCCTCCTCCTCTCCCCCACAGAGCTTCCCAATTTACATGTAAACCTTGGGCATCAAAGTGACAGCTGATAGCCCAGGTTTGCCCACAAATGTGCTCTGACTGGCGTGCATGTTATTAAATTTGATAAGATGCATGATGGCAGCTATTAGAGTTTTGACTCTGTTCTTTACCAGTAGTGTGACCTTCGGCAAGTCACTTAACGTAGCTGTGCCAAAGCATCCTCATATGTAAAATGGAGGTAGTGATAGGACCCCTCTGTAGGATTGTTATGAGCTTTAAATGATCTAGTCCATGTAAAGACATAGATGAGGGCTTGGCACAGAGAGAACACTATTGTTTAAAAATAGGGTGACTTAATGTGTGTAATAAGTAACTGGTTCATTGCAGTGTACAAACATGAAGTGTTTTCTTTTTATTCAGCTGACCTCTATCAACTACTCCTTTCGTATCTCAATATCTTGGGCCCAGCCAATAAGTAACTGGGCACTTTGATTTTCAAACTCAGTCCAGCCCAGCTTAAACTTTCCACCTCCCAAACTTGCAAGAGGTGGTCTCTGGCTTCTTCTGAGCTCTTGCTCCTCCAGTGTGGTGGGTGAGGGGGAGGAAGGGAGAAAAGTAAAGTCTCTTCACTGGCCATGATGATGAGGATGGTGAGAGGAGATTTTGGTTTTTGTTTATTTGTTTTTTTAAGAAACAGAGTCTCTGTTGCCCAGGCTAGAGTACAGTGGCATGGTCAAAGCTCACTGCAGCCTCAAACTCCTGGCCTCAAGTGATCCTCAAGATGGAGTCTTGCTATGTTGCCCAGCCTGGTCTTGAACTCCTGGCCTTATGTGATCCTTCCACCTCACCCTCTGGAGTAGCTGAGATTACAGGCACAAGCCACTATGCCCAGCTACAGGTGGTCTTACTCTAATCCATACTAGGTTTTTGGGTTGGGTTTGGTTTGGTTTGGTTTGATGCTGGGGTTTTCAGTAGACTACATGCATAATTTGGGAGTGGTGGTGAGTGCTTTGTCCTGGACCCTCAGAGAGGAGTGGGGATCTCTGTCCAATCTAAGAGGCTAAGAGGCTCACAGCCCATCTCTTTGACATAGTATGCTGGCCTGCAGTCACTTGCGCCACCCACAGCTCAGCCTCCTCTCACCTCCCTGCATCAGTGCTTGGAACCCCAGGAACACTGGGGTCCTTCCCCTACCTACAAGGGCTTTGGGACACTTGGAGGGGAGGTAGGACTGTCCCTCCTCCTCCCTGATCCCCAATACCACCATCCCTTCAAGTCAGCGTGGGCTGTTCCCACGAGGGGCTTCCCACTTCAGGAATTTTCTGGTCAGAAATAGACCTCATCTCCATGTTCACAAACTCTTCTGAGCTCCAGAAGATAACATTTCAAGCCCTCTCAAGAATACTCTCCTTACATTTTTCATCTGTTCAGTGCTGTATCTCCAAAACCTAGCACAGAGTGCTCAAATCTTTGTTGAAAGAATGAATAAAGGGTGCTTGGATGGGTAACACTCAGGTGGTCTGCAGGCCCTGCAGCTCAGCCCTGCAGCTGGGAGGCAGGCATCGGTCCCCTTCTTAAGTGATTTATTAAGTCCTGGGCAGGGGGAAGGGTGTGGAGGTCTGGTCCCAGCAAGTGGCATCTCATTGGACACTCCCTTGTCCTCAACCACCATTTTCAGGCAGCGGGATAATCCCTTTCAGCATTCTTTTACCCACACAAAGGTCCAGCAGTCCAGCTGCTCTTGAAAAATCAGGAGTTCTGGTAACCCTGAGCCCATCCACCACAGGGCAACAGCCAGCCAGAGTTGAAGCAGACCTCCCCTTTAATCCTGCCGCTGTCCACAGCCACCTGCTTAGTTCGTTAATGTCACCTGCCGAGCCCTGCAGGCATTTGCACTTGGGTCCCTGCTTTAATCTGATGAGAAAGGGTGGGGACTCTCAGGGGGAGAGTCAGCAGTAGTTAACAACTCTCCTGTGGGTGCCTAACCCCCATGAGTGACTTCAGTAAAATGAAATGCGGACATGAAAAGGAATCAAAAATAGAGGAATAGGGAGAGATTGGAGGAAGGGAAGAAAGATGAGATGGGAGAGAAATGGCTTTGCTGAATGCCCTTGGCCCTAAGTCAGTACTGGCCCAGACACTGAGCCACCCGGGAAGAGGTTGGCATGGAAGCCGCCTTCTTCCTCTGCCCTCCCTGCTCCCCTGGGGCCAGCTTTCCTTCCACTTGCTAACCTCCCCCTCAGCCCAGGAGAGCAGCAGCTGCCACCTTGACCTTGGTGGCTCAGAGTCCAAGTAGGGACAGGTTGTTGAGATGAAGTACCTGGAGCTTGAGGTTATGTCCTCTGGCTGCAGCGGGATCCCTGAGAAGGGCTGGGGGGTACCAGAGTCCACAGTCCCATGGACGGGCCTCCCCAGCGCCAGTGTCACCCCTAAAGGGCATGACATCAGAAGATTCTTCTTGCCACACACATCTGCAAGCGATTATAATGGCTGACAGTGACCTCTCTCCATGTGCTATACACTGTCTCTGAGAACTGATTCTTCATAATGGCCCTGTGATTTCAGTACTGTGGTTGTCCCCATTCTATAGATGATGAAACACTGAGGCATGCCCTTCAGTATGCCTCATCTCCACACTCCAGCCCAGAATGCAGACCTCCCTCCCGCCCCCTGCCACCCCCCTCCCCACCACCACCAACCCCCCTTACCCCCACCACCACCGCAGTGCACGCCAGGCTGTGTAGGCCTCTGAGCCTCTGCTCATGCTGTTCCTCTGCCCCGAGTGCCTTTCCTTCTCTCCACTCTTTCTTCACACTGGGTACTGCCTCACTGTTTAAAATGCCCGTTAGACACACCCTTCTTTCCTGGAAGAAGGGTGACCCTTTCTGACCCCAGTTCAATCAGATCTCTCCTCCACACACACAGCCCACTGTGCATGCTCATCACAGCAGCAATCACACTGTCCTGTTTCCCCAGACAGCCTGTGACCAACTCAAGGGCAGGGTCTGTGTGTACCCTACAGCGCCTAGCTCAGGGAGGAATGCAGATTGTGTGTGAATGAACGAACGAACGAACCAACACAAATAGCTGACATCAAGCAATTATGGGGTGCCAGGCACCGTGCTAAGTGCTTTACAGGTATCATGTTATTTTCTGCTCACCACAGCCTTATGGGGAAGGCACTGTTATTAGCACTACCCTTTTACAGATGAGGAAACAGGCTAAGAGGCATTAAACAACAACCAAGCATCCAGGCAGTCAAGACTCTAATCTGACTTACATTCTCATTTGATGGACCATCATCCTCAGTGGACCTCCTCTGTAAGGGATCCTGCCTCTGACAAGCTCTCTGAGATTTGAGTAGGGAGAAAGCTCAGAATCACTTGGCCCTCTGGGAGGAGGAAGATGGTCATCCTGCAACCCTCTGCACCATTTAGGTGTCCTGGTCCTGTCCATCTGCTCATGGAACAGCTTGATCTAGAAGAGAAATAATGTGGCGAAGAGGGTTTTTGGGCCAAAGACAAGAAAATATCACAGGGCCAGGGTTGTTACTGTCTTTAGCCAGGATCTGGCCATTGGGACATCGGCTCCCCTCAAAGGCGGGGGGGTTGGAAGCTTGGGGAGTCTCTTGGCTAAATCCTACCCATCTCCACTATGCTCCATCCCTAAGATAGCCAACACTTGACCAGTAGATGCTAACGTACCTCCACTGACAAGAAGCTCCCTACCACTCCAGCCCAGATCTCAGCAAGTTTCTCTTTCTCTAGCTGAAATGTACCTCCTGGGGAACATCAAAAGGAGTCCATTCTCCAGGAGAGACCAGCAGGCCCAGATGGAGGGCCTCCCTGACTTTGTGAGTGCCTCCTGACAGAACCTGACACAGAACCCCATCCTGTGGCTTCTTAATAATGCCTCCCTTCCCCTCTACTCCTGCCCCTTCAAAGCTCTCCAGACACAGAGTACCAAGCTTTGGAAAGTCCTCTGCTTGTGTTATCTGATCCCCCAGCTTTCAGAGAAGGCAGAGTGGGAAGGTTTCCAATTTTCCTCTGGTAGACCAGAGAGATGGAGTAATTTGCCCAAAGGCCCACAGAGAGAAGGGGTGACCAACAGGACCTAGCTCTCCTGGTTCCCAGCCCAGGATCACACAGTCCCCTCCAGAAATGCCAGGACAGAAATGCTTCTGGACATCTCTCCCCATCCTGCTAAGGGCGGGGGAAGCAGGAAAAATACAGAGAAACCAGCCTCGCCTGGGGAGGAGAAACTTGATTGTTGCTGTGAGGTTGGCATTCTGGGAACTGCAAGGCCTATGGCTGGTGGAGAAACAGAAAATGTCGTCAATCATCCAGAGGATGTCCTGGCTTGAAGCTGCTTTACAAGATAGGTGTCCTTGGTCTCTGGGCTTGGTCAGACAAGAGAAAGCTCTGTGTGTGTGTGTGTACGTGCAAGCGCATGTGTGTGCTCTTGCACATATGCACATGTGTATGTACAGACATGTCCATTCAGTGAGGACATTTTAAAGAGAATCCCAGGGAAATTAATGCTTATTCTCAAGGAAGGGAGCAAAAATGGTGGAATCTCAGGCAGCTGGCATTTTGGGCTGGGAGATGCCTGAGGTAAGTGAGTAGATGTGATCATGGATACTGGGGTTCCAAAGGGCCAGGCCTGGGCACTCAAGGTCCTTGGATGGGAAGAATCCGGCTGGTTTCTCACAGGCCCCTAAACACCCAGCAAATGTCTCCCAGGTTTAGCTGGAACCTGGGTATGTCCCAACAAGGTTAGGGGAGAAGGGTCTTCTGAGGGACACCCCTCTAACCCTTCCACATAAAGCCCTACCAAGGCCCAGGGAGAGGAAGGCAAATGGATTCCCAAGTTCCCAGCTGCAGGGCCCAGTGACAAAATCAGCACCTTTGAGGCATGTGATCCTTTGCACAACTGATCCTCACCCCTAGAGAGGGCTCCAGGAGTCTGGGAAGGAACCATGGGCCTCCTGGGTCCTGCATATGGCTCTGCAGCACTGGCAGGTATAAGAAGCTTTTGTTACATTTATTCATCCATTCATTCAACAGTGAGCACCTACTATGTGCCAAACATGTTTCTAACACTGGGAGTACAGCAAGAACCAGTTAGACCAAAATTCCGGCTTTCATGGAGCTTGCAGTCCAGCAGGAGAGGTCGTGGGTGGGAAAGACAAGTACAAGGCTCAGCCTGCTGGGTCATGATTAGTGATCAGAGAAAAATAAGGCAGCGAAGGACAAAAGGGAATGAGGTGGGGTGGGGTACAAATTTAAATATGGTGTTCAGCAAAGGCTTCACTGAGGAGAAGATATTTGAATAAAGCCCCTAAGGAGGTGAGGGAGTGGGCCTTGCAGATACTGAGGGGAAGTACCTTCCAGGCAGAAGAAGCAGCACGTCTGAAGTCCCTTGGATGTGAGCGTGCCCAGTAAGGTTGAGGAATGGTCAAGAGGCACGTGTGGCTGGGGTGAGTGAGCAAGGGGTAAGGGGTGAGAGATGAGGTCAGAGAAGCACAGGGTCCCAATTGCTTAGTGCCTTGTAGGCCACTGTGAGGGATGAACCCTGGTTTGGGGGTACCTGAAGCTTATGCAGTCCAGTGGGGCATCCTCAAGATAGATAAACCAATTCAGGGCCTTGGAAGGGGCTTGTGCTAGTGAGAGGCCCGGACACTTAAGCTTTGCCAGTCTTGCTATAAATCTGCCACTGGTTGTGGTGAGAATTTTGGCTTTTGCCTGGAGAGGGAGCCATAGGAGAGTTTTGAGCAGAGGAGTGGCCTGACCTGACCAGCCTCTGGCCTTCCTCTGGCTGCTGAGTGGAGCATGAACCTGGTGATGGGGCGGGGAGGAGGGGAGGAGAAGGGGGTAAGAGAGAAAGCCAGAACACCAGTGAGCAACCCTGGACTGGCGGTGACAGCCGAGGGTGGACAGCAATCAGATTCTGAAAGTGGAGCTGACAAGATGCGCTGATCTGGAATGTGAGGTGTGATAGAAGAAAGGCAGAAGGGTTGACCACAGCGTTTGAGGCCTAATCCAGCTATCCCCAGTTGAGGTGGGGAAGGAGAGCATCATCATCCCTGGACCTCATACTATGCAGTTCTCCATTTTATCTGTAATCTGCACCACCACCCTGAGGCAGAGCTTTCATTAATCCCACTTCACAGATAGAGAAATCCCGACTCAGAGAGGTGGAGTAACTTGCCCAAGGTCACACAGCCAGTAAGTGGCAGAGCCTGGATTCCAACTTTAGTCTTACCAACTCCAAAATCGGTATCTGTTCTGATGCACCAGGAAAAGCAAGGTTTGGGGCCCTAGGAGCAGGTTAGGTGGGAGAGGCAGTTCCTGGAGGAGAGGCACATTCCAGTAACCACAGAGGCCCCTGGAATGCCTGCAAAGAAAGTTCTCAGCATCCTACTCCGTGTTCCTAATCACCTCCTCCTTAAACCTGTTTCTGATCCATCAGCTGGCAGATCTCAGCTGTAATCATGGGGAAATGCTTTTGTCATCTCTTAAGTTTTCTTAATTCACTGACAAGGTAATAACGCCTCAGTCCATTATACACATTTTCTAAAGGACTTTCAACATTAGAATGCAAAGCAGGCTTCTCTGGCTTAGAAAAACCTGAGACTCCTGGGATTTAATCATCAAACAGATTTAGCCCCTAAATCTGTTTGATGATTAACATCAAACATTTCGTAAGAAAAAAACAAATGGTAGTGCGGCCAGCATGTCCAGGCCACCCAAATATGCCCAATTTCTCCCCTAAATAAACTCATTGCATTTAAACTGATATGAACTGATGGTCCCAGATGCATTCACTCAACAGGTTTAGTATCCAAATGAGTCTGCCACCATCACAGTAATCCATATGACTTGGTTGATATTTTTTTAATTATCATTATGGATTGAAAAGCCTTAGCCCATGATTTGGGATGTCCAATCCTATGTAGTTTACTTAGAACAGCTCATGCCACGTTCTGTGGCTGTGCCTACTTGGAGCCTGGGAGAAAGCGACACAACAGTGGAAGCCTAGGACTTGTGAATCTTTTACCATCTTGGAGCTTTGCTCTTTCCACACCATACCCCTTCAATACCACAACAAAAACCTGGGAAGCCAAGCTAAACAACCCTTGTCCTTTCCAGTCTTCCTCTAGCTCTCTGCTCTTGGTAAAACCTACCAGTAGGAGCAGATATTTGATCTGTCATAGAAGCTGTGATATTACACTCCCCAGATGTTTAACTCACTGGACTGAAGGCTCAAGTTACAGCTAATCAGGGCCTCTCTACACTACAGACCCCATGCCCCCCCACCCTCCCACCCCCAAGGAACAGGATCCTCGGCCCATGTGGCCAACTGAGATGGAGTAAGTAGGACCTACATTGGGCAGGGGATTCACTAAAATGGCTCCTGTAGGGTCTCTACACCAGTGGCTTAGAAGGCATGTGCTCTCAAAGCCCTCTGGGTCCATTCAGACTGAAGGATGCCTCCCCACAGTCCTCAAACACCTGTATCTCCTTGCCCCAGGGCCTACTTCCTTTCCTTACCAAGAGTTTAAAGAAAGTCTGCAGGAACCTAGAAACATTTCATAAGAAAAACACAAATGGCAATGTGGCCAGCGTGTCCAGGCCACCCAAATGTGCCTGATTTCTCCCCCAAATAAACTGTGGCTTCACTTTACTACTATATGAGGGAGACTAAGGTTACAAATTCAGCATAAATTTTTTTTTTTCCTGTTATCCAAATAAGGTCAGGAGCAAGAGACATACTATGGAGGAGAAGGTGATCAAGGCCTGCATCATGCCCACAGAAATACAATAAAGCCCTCACCCTTTCCTGTGTAAAAGATCCTTCTTGCCCAGAGAACTGGGTAATATTGTGCACTTGGCTTTGTAAAAATGTGTCACTGCAGGAAATTAGACCCCAAGACCAAAACCAGGCTGTAGCAAACTTTGAACTGAACCCAACCCCACCAGGGAGCTCTTCCCTGAGACCATGAGAGCTGCTGGCTGTGGTGGTCCCTGAGGTCAGGCCAGAAAATGGCAGGGAGAATGGTTAGTGCCTGGTGGATGCCTTCCTGCCCTGGAGGGGTGACTGGAGATAGAGACTGGGTTCCCATTCCCAGGGAAGAACTAGAGGGACCTGAGGGGTCATCCAGTCCAACCCCCTCACTTGAAGGCAGGGCAACTGAGGCCTGGTGAGGGTAGGATCACAGTTTAGTCAGTGGGGGTACTGGGGGTCACTCTGGTGCTGACTTCTCCCCTCATCATGAAGCCACCTCCCCCACCTTAGATGATCAGGGCTGAAAGGGACCCCTCCACGGCCAATCAACACCCTCACTCAGCCAATAAGGACAGCAGAGGTCCCTCACTCCCCAAGGCATGAGGGAAGAGGATGGGCAACCTTTCAAACAGCTCCCAATCTTGAGAAATGCCAAGAAACCTCATCCTCCAAGAGCAGCGGTTTCCAAACTTTTGTATTTTTAGCAGCAGAAGCCATCCTCCAAACAAAACCGTATGCAAAACCTCAGCTACAAAACAGATCAGTGGGCTGCTTGCCCGTGTGGGGCATGGGCTGGGCCCCGAGCTCTCCCTCCAGCACCCAGTACTTCTTCCACAAGGCCCTATGTGAGCTCAGTTTAAAACCCCAGGGCCTTGGCAGGGGTCAGGTGGGCGGGAGCAGGGGGTGGACCTTGTAGCACTGGAGCTAAAGCAGCCAGATAAGGTGGGCTAGTTCTTAAGACCTCTGGAGGGTGTGGCTAGTCTCTGAGACCTGGACAACTTCATTCTCCACCAGGGCCTGGCCCCCATCCCCATTGAGCTGTCTCATGCGCAGGTTAATGGAGCCGTAGGTCTTCCTGGAGCCCTTGCCGGGGACGAAGGTCCTCCGGCGGTACAGCTCGCCCTTGCACAGGGAGACCATGAGCAGCACCGACAAGAGCATGCCGCCCACCGTGAGCAGCCCGAGGCCTGCGATGATGCACCTGTCCAGGTGGGAGCCTAGGCGGGCGTAGTACATCTCCAGTCGTTCCATCTCCCGCGCTGTCACTGTGTCCGGATTGACTCGAGCCTCACGGGGGATGGCGTATGCTGTCACCACCAGAAGAATCCCACTCACCAGGAAAACGAGGGCGGAAACAAAGCCATAATCCACCGGGCGGCTCACGGGCTCCAGGGCTGGCCCCTCCTCTGAATGAAGGGACAGATCATCCCGCTGGGATCGGGGCAGTGAGGAGACACCCCCAGGGGGACTGGGTGAGCTGCCCAGTCTCGTGTTCCCAGGGTTCTGGAAATGGGTCTCATGCTCCTCTGAGGAGAAGCAGGCATTCTCCACACCCTCCCTGGTTGGGGCCACTGGGCCCAGGGGAGCTGATCTCCTTGGGGCTTGGGGACCATTGCTCAGTGTCTTCAGTTCCAGACCAGGGGGAGATGCCATTGGGAAGGAGGGCCCCAGCTCATCCCTTGGCCCCTTGGCAGCTGGAAGAGAAAAAAGAAAGTCAGTTGAATGTAGCAACCTCTCCCTGTTGTGGAGGACATCATACCAGTCCCTAAGCACATGAAGGTGAGTCAGGCACAATTCCCACTTGGGGGTGTCTGCCAGACAGAGGGGAAGACAGGGAATAAGACGATGACAGAACAGTGTGATCCAAGCCCAGATCCCACTCTACCACCGGGTGGGGTATGGCTGTGGGCAATTCACTAATCCTGTCTGGCTTCAGTTTCCCCACCTATAAAATAATACTACTACTACCCTCTAGTTCGCAAAGCTGGAGTAGGATTGAGATAACCTATACGAAGTACTCAGAACACTAAGTGCTCAAAGTTAGCGATGAGTTCCTATTATACTGGAGGGAATGTAGGTAGTGTGAATATCAGGCTCAAATCCCAGCTTCACCACTTGGGCTTGGGCAAGTGATGTGACCTCTCCAGATTCGGTCTTCATCTTATCTATAAAATGGTAATGAATAAAATGCCTCCCTCATAAGGTTGTTGTGAGGATTTCATAAAATAGTGCATGCAAGACCCTGGCCAGTGCAATCCATGGACCTTGTTGTATGAGGGAAGGATGACGGAGGGGTGGGGGAGGGGGTAGAAATGCAGAAGTTGTTGTGGGAACAAAGAGGAAGGGAAGTTTCTGGGAGTTGGTGGCATTTGAGCCAGATCTCAGAAGATGAATTGGATACTTCCCAGCAATGGAAGGTGATGAGGGCATTCTGGAAAGGGGAACAGACTGCCTCAGAGGCCAGCTGGGGCCGGCTCACAGAGGACTCTGAAAGCCAGGCCAAGGAGCCCGAGAGCCATGCAGAGCTGAGGAGCTGGAGCAGGAAGTGCCTCGGCTTCAGAAGAAAGGAGGACTGATGAGATGGGAGGGGGCAAAGTGGAGGATGGGGGTCCAGCAAGGAAGCCAGCAGGTTGGGGATGGCATGGCTAAAAGGGCCAAGAGGAAGGGGCAGACTGGAGAGCCATGACTAGGTCAAAGCCAAATGCCTTTATGTAAACAGAAGTGTGGGGACCTGGACTAGAACCACAGGAGGGGAACCGGGAGGGAGAGGCGAGAAGAGGGACACTCTCTGTGCTGCAAGAGGAGTTACCCCACCCAAGAACCTGAACACAAACCCACCCAGACACAGACAGCACATGTGCATTCCCGCTGAAGGATACTGACTTACAGCCCGGGGACCATATTTGGCTGATAGAAGTTTTGCTTTGTTTTGTTCCTGGCCTGTTCATTTGTTTTTGGTGAATTAGTTGCAAATGTATAAAAAGCAAAAGATTTTAGATTTTACATTTTAAATGTTGGATTCCTGGCTTCTCCTGCAAAATGAAAGAATCTGGCCACCTTAGGCCCCCGTTCCCTTGTAACACTCGCCTGGAGTTGGCAATCGGGGCTCTTAGGCAGATCTAGCCTCTCCCCGACAGGTCCCACCTCAGCCCCCTTCCCTGCCTGGCATGTGTCATTCCTAATCCACAGCAGAACTGCATCATTCCTTGTATACACTGATGGCCTGAGGGCACATACACTCAGAGCCCTAGGCGCACAAGCCATGGGCTACAGAGACCACCAGGTGCAGAGTGGCTCACATGCTCCGGTGTGTCTACGCACACATACATGCACACACACACGATTCTCTGCATTCTCATGCCGGAGTTTATTCTCCAGTGCACTGTGGTTCGTTCTCTGTGTGTGTGTGTGTGTGTGTGTGTTTGTGTGTGTGTGTGTGTGTAAATATGAGCAAATGAAGTGAGGATGAATGGAATGAATGAATGAATGAAACTCAAAGAGCCTCAGTGCAGGAAGACATGTTTTTCAATCTTTCTGACCTTCTTGTCAATATGGACTAGCATCAGACACCTCCTCTTAGCACATATAGGGCCTTTCATGTGAGTACAAAGCTCTTTTCCCTTTACAGCCCATTTCTATCACTACGTCTCTCTTTCCAGAGTCTCAATTTAGTAAATGTTTACCAAGCACCTACTAGCTGTTGAGCCATGTACCCGACACTTCATGCAGGAGTATCTCATATCACCCTCACCAGCCCCACGATCCGGAATTACTGTCTCTATTTCATAAAACATGGCCAAGATCCCATGGCATGTATGGGAGGGTGGAGGACAGGAGTTGAATGCAGATTCCCTAAGAATTATTATCATGTACAAACCTGCAAACTCATACCCCTGTGCTGGTGGCATCACTCCACCAGCCTTCCCTGGCTCTGCATCCCTCACTCATAGACTCTTCATTTTATCCAGCTGTTTATCAGCAACCGTGAGCACCTTGAGAGCAGGCATAAGTTTGAATTCCATCTGGGTCCCCAGCCTGCGCCCAGACTGCTTTTACTTTCCAGTGAATAGACAGAAAAAAGAGATGTGTTTGTTGGTTGGCTTTTTACTCTTAGCACCAAAAACATTTTCCTGAGTGCCCAGCCACAAACAGGGACCAGCAGTGGGTGCCACATGGGTGCTCAGAAGTGGCCCCCACCCACACCCTCAGCACCTTCCACCCAACTCAGCTCCTGGAGTGGCCCAGGAACCCCTTTCCCAGACTGATATATTGATGCCTCCACACCCTGGAAGAAATCTGGAGCTCCCAAATTCTGGGAGCAGAGCTCTCCTTCATGCTGCAGGAACCCAAAACTTTTTTCTTAGGATGCCACAGTGAGAGGGCAGAGAAAAATGAGGATTCCTCTCACCCAGAGTTAGGACATCTCTCTGTTTCATGCCCAGGTTCAGAGATATTCACCAGTTACACAAAGGCCGTGCCCAATTACCCTAACATAAGCAGAAACACACCAACTGACATAGCTGCTCCCGCCCACCATTCACACCCCACGACCCCACCAGTTACTAATTTCATCTGCAGTCAGACAGGTCCTGAAAGGAACACTCCAGTTCCACACACACTCCCCCAGCAGCTGTTCCCACAGCAGTACCCACAGACACCCAGAAGTCACGTAGTGTGACCCTCGGATCTTCGGGCCACGCGAGTACCCCGTCACACGCACACGCGCGTACACACACACACACACACACACACACACACACACAAAGTGCCCCTGGGAGTGAGACCCAAGCCAGATCCACCAAGACCCGCAGGGGCCCAATACCCCACCCGCCGCGCGCACTGACACCCGGAGAGAGGGACGCACAGCGGCTGTGGGTGAAGCTTCACAAAACCCAGTCGATAGACACACGCACGAGTTGTACACAAAGCCTTGGGGCGCGCAGATACGCACACGCAGGTCCACGCTGTTGTACCCAAAGTTGCGCGCAGAAAGCCCCAGCACGCCGGCTGCCCACCGCGCCCGCTCCCGCCGGCCCAGTCCACACCCCCTGCTCCTGCCCTTGCCCACAGACGCGGGACCCGGAAGGCCGAACCGGACCAGGCGGAGGCCCGGGGAGGCCGGGTCCCCTGGTCGCATGTCCTTCGGCGGGCCGCGAGGTCAGGCTCGCCGTCCTTCGCCGCCACTCCCCGCCCCCGGCCCTCGGCCTCCTGCCGCCCCCAGCGGTCCCCTCTCCGCGTGCGTACCTGTGCCGGGCCTCCCTCCCCGCCTCACCACGCTGGGGCGAAGGGCGCCCGGCCGCCGGCGGGCGAGGGTGCGTCCTCTCCGGTGCCCGTCCGCCTTCCTGCAGCCGGCGTACGCCTGCGGGGGTCTCGCCTGCGGGGGTCTCTCTCCTGCGGCGCAGCCCGGAGGGCGCGGGCCCGGCCGCCACCGCCTCGCCCTCCCGGTCTCCCGCCCCCTTCCCGGCCCGGCCCGGAGCCACTGCCGAGGCGCACGTACCTACTCGCGCCGCGCGGAGCTGTACGGCGGCGGTGGCGGCCGCTGGGGAGGCGGGGGGGGGATCCGGGGACGGAGGGACGGGAGAAGGGGCGGGGGCCGGGGCTCGCCGAGCGCCGCGGAGGGAGCTCCGCCCGCGGCCGGCGAGGGCGCCCGGAGAGTTAGCAAGGAGAGGGACAGGAAGGCGGGTGATGGGCTGGGGCGAGGGTGCGGGGGCTCCGATCCACCGTCCTCCCCTCCCCTCCAGGCAGATCTGGATCGCCGGCGCCTGGGCTTAGGGAACTGGGGCTTGGAGCCCGCGGTCCACGGGCGCAGGGGCGGGGCGGGCGGGGGCTGCTGAAGAAGATCCCTCCCCACCACCGGAGAGCCCCTATTGCGCCAAGCGCAGGTGCCTCCCCACTCCTCACCCCCACTCTGCCACTTCCCCTTCCCCCCACCCCCACCCCGCACGCAGCCCCCAGGTAGGACCCCGGGTCCTCTCCGAGGTCCTTAGGTCGGGACGGTCTCCTCGGGCGCTTGCGGCTCCGTGGCTCAAGGGCGCCACCTGAAGGCTGCAAGAAAGAATCCGACGATCCCCCTCCCCCTTTTCTCTGCAATTTTTTTCTCCGTGGGACAGTGGAGTGCTCCGCCCAAGAGGGGTGTTCTCCTGGGGGCATTGCCAATGGCCAAACACACCCTCACCCTCCAAGGCCCAGCTGTGGGGCCTCTTCTCCTGGAACCCCTCCCTGGGCACACACCCACTTACCCCACGGGCCCCTCCATCTGGGCTCTCCTTTTGCCCGCACTGTTTGCTCTTGTCTCTGACGGTCGTGATTTTGTTTAAGGGTCAGCCTCCTCCATCGGATTGGCAGCTCCTGGAGAGCAGGACCCATGTCTGATCACCTAGAAGACCTAGGTGGGTGTGGGTGAACAGGCTGTGAAAAGGGGTGACTTTCACTTCTTTCCTTTACAGGGCCGGAGTTAAGATGAGTCCAGCGAAGTGCCTAGAGTACCAAATTCATGGAGACGTTTCCTCTTTGGGGAACACACGCCAACCCCAGAGACAGCTTTGGTCTGAATCGTGCAGGTTCCGGGAAGACACGGTGACCAGCTGAATCGTGTGGTCTCGGTTAGTACCTCTGGCCTCTGAGCCTGTATCCACTTCTGTCCATGAGGATTGTGAATGTGCAGGCTTTGAGGGCTCTGGGAAGGCCAGCAGAAGTTGGCCATGTGGAAGGACAGGCGAATGAGTGTGCCATGTCCTGCTCCTCGGCCACCTCATGAGCGGAGCCTGACCTGCCCTCCTCCAAAGTTCTGTGCAGCCCTCCCCAACCAGGAGACTGGAAGTCACCCTGGATGATGGATGCCTGTGCCTTCAAGGCCAGCATAGCCTAGCCCTAGGCAGGTCCACCAGGGCTGGGAAGGCCTCCATTTCCTCCCAGCCTTGCAGAGGCCTGGCCCGTTGTTAGAGACTTCAAAGGGATGCTAGCCCTGGCACCACACTCCTGTTCAAATCCCAGCTCCACCCCCACAGCTGGGTGCCCTGGTGTAAAGGACTGCCCTCCTGGAGCTCGGTTTCCTCCTCTGTGAAACGGATGTAGGAAGTGTTATGGGAATGGGATGAGATACCGCCTTTAAAGCACTCACTGTTCCTTCCCTCAGTCATGCGCTGTCCTACCTCAGCCTTTGCGCTGGCTGTTCCTTCTGCCTGGGACGTTTTTCTTTCTGATATTTCCCGCACTCACCCCCTTCCCTCACTTCCTTCAAGTCTTTGCTCAAATGCCACCTTCTCAGAGACGCCATTCCAGGCCATCCTTTCAAAAATAGCAGTGCCCCAGCACTCTTTACTCCCTCACTCTGAATTTTTCTCTATAGCACTTACCAACTGACATTAGTTTCTGTTTGCTTATTGCCACCTCCCCTAAAAAATAAGTGCCAAAAGAAGAGGGTTTTTGCCTGTTTCCCTCCCTGCAGTATCCCCAGACACTAGAAAAGGGGCTAACACCTAGGAAGCTCTGGATAAGTGCTCACTGAATAAAGAACAGAGAAAATGGGCAAATATTATATACTAGTTAGCTAGGTAGACTCCATCCCTACACTCAGGAAGCTTGTATTCTAGTGGGAGAAAAGGATAAGTAAATGTAACATTGCAGTTATAGTAAATGCTACCAAATAAAAGTATAGAGTGCAAGCCTCAAACAAGGGTGCCAACCTAGTCTTGGGGATAGGAATGGCTTCCTGTAAAAGTGTGGACTGAGCTGAGATTAGAAGGATGAGTAGAAGGCAACCAGATAAAGAGGGGAGGAAAGAGAAGTCCAGCAGAGCGCCTAGCATAGGCGAAGACCTTGGGGTAGAAGGAAGTGTGTGACGAGTTTGAGAGTTGCAGGAGACCAGTATGGTTGTCATGGAGGGCCTGATAAGGAACCTGGTAGGAGACGAGCCTGGGCTTAGCAGGTCAGGTCACTGCAGAGCCTTACAGGCCAAGTAATTTGTTCTTTATCCTCAGAGCAGTGGAGAGCCTCACTGATGAATGTAAGTAAAGGGTTAACAAAACCTTTTCCTCTTTTGCATGAGAATTTGACCTTTGGAAGCTCTGTTTCCTGGAAACAGATAAACATATGTCTG
Source organism: Homo sapiens (assembly GCF_000001405.40). NCBI lineage: Eukaryota > Metazoa > Chordata > Mammalia > Primates > Hominidae > Homo > Homo sapiens. Next base: position 1,187,992 of record NC_000020.11, read on the forward strand.
CTATGTTACTAAGCAACATTGCTTCTGATAAAAATGACCCCTGAGGAGGAGGCTAGAATGATCCATGTGGCAACAGATTAGAATTGGAGATACCAGAATGAACTCATGTTTAGCTTAATATAGATGCAGATGATTACATACAGAAAGTTATATATATATATAATACACACACACACACACACACACACACACGGGCTAGTATACACACATTTATTTCCTTACTGTCAGGCGAGAGGGCCTAGAAGCAATGATACTCCATAGCAACAAGCACACGTAGCACTGAAATCTTGGTTTCTAATACCATTCTCCAATAAAAGGATCCAAGGCTCCTTGAAGAAATTGCTGTTTATAGGACTTGGGCAGGAAACACTACAAGATGAGCCCAGAGCATCTGATAGTGCCAGAAAGTAAAGAAATGCTACACACACACACACACCACACACCACACACACATGCCACACACACTCTACACACACTACACATACACTACACACACCACACACACTACACACACATGCCACACACACACTCTACACACACACTACACACACCACACACATACCACATGCACCACACACACCACACGCACTACACACACACCATACACACAATACACATACTACACACACACCACACACATACACTACCTACACACACCACACACACTACACACACACCACACACACACACAAATGGTGGGGGTAGGAGCTAACTGAAAGAGTTCCCAATGGCCAAAGCTGGAAAAATTTGAGTGACAAAATAAATAAGGTAATATTGGACTGTAACAAAAAGTATGAAATAAATATCTATGAGTCCATACTGATAAAAATAACTGAACAAACAGGTAGAAAAGAGAAATCTCCCATGCAGAATTCCAAATTCTGTATCTAGATAACTCAGTCCTTGAGGAGGGGAACTGTAACTCCCCATTTTGAAAGTGCGAGGTGCACATAATGACTCCCTTTCCAAGAGTGTTTTATGGAAAGCGCTGGGGTGGCGGGGCGGGGGCGGGGGCAGGTGGGAAGTAACTTTACAGTGGAGAAACTGACAAACGTGATGACCTCAGCCAGGTGATGAAAGTCAACTCCAACAGTCAAATCACGTCGCTAGTAGGTACCTTGGATATGATGCGGCACAAATGGCACTTTACCTCTGTTGTCTTCCTCCCCAAAACCCATAGCTGCAGTCTAGTCATCAGATAAACATCAGACAAATCCCAATGAAGAAAATTCTACAAAACATCTGACTAGTTCTCCTCAAAGGTCATCAAAACAAGGAAAGTCTGAGAAATTGTCACAAACGATAGGAACCTAAAAAGACATAACGACTCAATGTAGTGTGGTACCCTTGATAGAATACTGGAACAGGAAAAGGAAATTTTGCAAAAACTATGGAAATATAAATAAAGTATGGACTTTAGCTAATAACAGTGTATCAGTGTTGGTTAATTGTAACAAATATACTCATGTAAGATGTTAACAGTAGGGGAAAGTGGGTTTGGGGTTGATGTCCTTCGGATGTTTGTCTCCTCCAAATCTCATGTTGAAATTTGATCCCCAGTGGCAGACTTGGGGCCTGGTGGGAGATGTTTGAATCATGGGGGTGGATCCCTCATGAATGGCTCTGTGCTGTCCCCACGGTAATAAGTGAGTTCTCACTCTATTCGTTCACTAGAGAACTGATTGTTAAAACAAGAGCCTGGCACTTTCCTCCCCTCTCCCTCTTGCTCCCTCTCTTGCCATGTGATGTCTGCTCCCCTTCTCTTTCTGCCATGATTGGAAGCTTCCTGAAGTCCTCACCAGAATCAGGTGCTAATGCCATCCTTCTTGTACAAGCCCACAAAACCATGAACCAAATATTAATAAACCTATTTTCTTCATAAACTACCCAGCCTGAAATATTCATTTCTTCTCCATCCCTCCTTCTCCTCCTCCTTCTTCTTGTTCTTTCTTCTTCTTCTCCTTCTTCTTCTGTTCTTCTTCTTCTTCTTCTTATTCTTCTTCGTCTTCTTCTCCTCCTCCTCCTTCTCCTTCTCCTTCCTCTTCCTCTTCCTCTTCTCCCACTCCTCCTCCTCCTCCTTCTTCTTCTTCTTCTTCTTCTTCTTCTTCTTCTTCTTCTTCTTCTTCTTCTTCTTCTTCTTCTTCTTCTCCTTCTCCTCCTCCTCCTCCTCCTCCTTCTCCTTCTCATTCCTCTTCCTCTTCCTCTTCTCCCACTCCTTCTTCTTCTTCAGAGATGGGGGCCTCATTCTGTCATCCAGGCTGGAGTGCACCAGCACTATCATAGCTCACTGCAGCTTCAAACTCCCAGGCTTAAACGATCCTTCCACCTCAGCCTCCTGAGTAGCTGGGACTAGGTGTGCACAACCAAGCCAGGCTAATTTTTTTCTTTTGTTGGTAGAGACAGGGTCTCACTATGTTGTCCAGGCTGGTCTTGAGCTCCTGGGCTCAAGCAATTTTCCTCCTCAGTCTCCCAAAGTGCTGGAATTACAGGCATGAGCCGCAGTGCTCTGCCTAGGTATTCTTTTATAGCAACACTAAACAGACTAAGACAGCGATATATGGGAACTCTCTGTATCATCTTCCCATTTTTGCTGTAAATCTAAAACTGTTCTAAAAAATATATATAAGTTGTTGTTGATGATGCTTTTAAACACCCCTGAGAGATAACTTGCGTCTGGGCTGGAGGGAACTATAAATATCTGGTGGGAAGTCATACTTTTGGTGTCCTAAATATAGTGATTCATGTAACTGGACAGGTCCAAAGGCATTGGCTCCTGTGGGACATGAAACTTTTAAGCCAGGATCGTTCCTGCACCCACCTGATGGGGATTTCATCTGGCATCTGAGTGGTACTGCTCTGCCGGAAGAGGCAAAGATTCCTGCCAAGAAGAGCATTGCGTGCTGTGCTAGCAAGTGGAAGTTCCTGAGCTGTATCCTTCAGAGTAGGTCAATGCCAAGTGTGGCTTATGGTCAGCCGCTGAGCCTGAGTGTGTATTGAACCTAAGAAGACTCCCTTGTGGACATGGCAGTGGGTGATAAGCAAGGGAGTGATGTGAGTAGATTTGCACTGTGAAAACATTCTCCCTCTGGTTACTCCCAGGTGCAAGGGGACAAGAGAGAAAAACAGACCATGTGGGAGATTATCATGGTCATGTTGGCACACAGAAAGTCCTCAATCAGATAGCTGTAATTATGTATCTGTGGAGATGTGTGATCTGTGAGACAGAATGAGGACTTCCTATAGGAACATTAGGAGAAACACTTAGTCTGCAATATTCCAAAAGGTAGTGGTATATAACATAATTTTAGGTGTTAAGTAAATAAAGATGTTTTGATTATCTATCACTGCATAACAAACCACCCCAAAACAGCAGCTTAAAAGAAAATTATTATTTATTTTCTCACAGTTTTGCAGTTTGGGTTGCTCTCAGCTGAGATAGCTCAGCTCTTGTCTGTATGGCGTCAGCTGGGGTGGCACAAACAGCTGGGAGCTGGCGTAGACTTGACTGTGTGTCTATGGGCTTGGTTCTCACTGTCAGCTGGGTTTTTTCATTCTCTCCTACATGATCTCTCCATGTAGCTAGCGTAGGCTTCCTTACATAATAGTGGTCTCAAGGTAGTCAGAGTTCTTACATGGCAGGCAACTTTCCCCAGAGCACAAAAGAAAAAGCTGCTGGATCATCTTAAAACTGAGGCTTGGAACTGGCCTGGCATTGCTTCTGCTGCATTCTATTGCTTAGTGCAGGTCATGGGCCAGCCTGGATTCAAGGGGAGGGGTCTATATAAGGATATGAATACCAGGAGGCATGTGTCATTGGGGGCAACTAGAGTAACACTCCCCCATCAGCTACACTACATTTATCTCTGTACCTATATACACACATATCTATATGTGTTTATTCATTTCAATGACTGTTTATTTTAAATTGTTTTAGAAAATATATAACTAGCGGCTGGGCGCGGTGGCTCACGCCTGCAATCCCAGCACTTTGGGAGGTCAAGGCTGGCAGATCACGAGGTCAGGAGATCAAGACCATCCTGGCTAACATGGTGAAACCCCATCTCTACTAAAAATGCAGAAAAAATTAGCCGGGCGTGGTGGCGGGCGCCTGTAGTCCCAGCTACTCTGGAGGCTGAGGCCGGAGAATGGCATGAACCCAGGAGGCGGAGCTTGCAGTGAGCCGAGATGGCGCCACTGCACTCCAGCCTGGGTGACAGAGCGAGACTCCGTCTCAAAAAAAAAAAGGAAATATATAAGTAACTCATGAAACCAAAGATATCATGGGTGATATTGACTAGAGTAAGGGCAGAAAAATGAGTCTATATGAAGTTGATGCAATAAAGTCTGCTGGTTTCTTCCAGTATTCACTCACTCTTTCTTCCACCGTAATAGAAGCCTTGATCAATAGTGGGTACAGTGCACCAGAAGGATTTCATTTCCCAGCTTTCCTTACAGCTAGGTATGGCCAAGTGGATGGTAAGCCATTAGGATATGAGAGGAGGTAGTGTGGGAAAAATGCGTTAAGTCTCCTGAAAGGAAAGGAATGTGCCCTCCTACTCTCTTTTTGTCCTTCTTGCTGCCAGGATGCAAAACCAATGGCTGGAACTTGAGCAACCATCTTGGACCATGAAGTGGAAGCCTATTAGGTTGGAAGAGCAGCAAAATTGAAGGAACCTAGATTGCAGATGACTAGATGGAAACACCAGAATGGGATAGTTCCTCATACTTTTGTGGATGAGAGAAACAAACATCTATTTTGTATAAGCTACTATTACTTGGGATTTTCTGTCACTCAGAAGAACTAAGTCAATCAAAGTAGAATCAGGCTGGGTGCAGTGGCTCACCCCTGTAATCCCAGCACTTTGGGAGGCCAAGGCAGGTGGATCACCCAAGGTCAGGAGTTTGAGACCAGCCTGGCCAACGTGGTGAAACCCTGTCTCTGCTAAAAATACAAAAATTAGCTGGGTGTGGTGGCGTGCACCTGTAGTCCCAGCTACTCAGGTGGCTGTGGCAGGAGAACTGTTTGAACCCGGGAGGCGGAGGTTGCAGTGAGCCGAGATCGTGCCATTGTACTCCAGCCTGGGTGACAAGAGCAAAACTCAGTCTCAAAAAAAACAAAAAAAAAACAAAAAACAGTAGAATCAGTAGGCAAAAACTGAATAGGTATATGAATAGCTGAAGATTGAGAAATACAGATGCAATCTGATCCCTTGTGTTCCAGGTAAGAAATCTCTGAAGCCAGCCTGTAGTATGTCCAGGAGGATTATATGAAAGAAGTAATAACCCAAGGGAGACTGAGGTTTTTCTAGGTGAAGGGAGTGAGTGGAGCAACGAAAAGTTCCTGGAAAAGGAAACAACACTTAAGCCCAGAGATGAAGTAATAGTAGCAAATTATTTGTGTGTTTATTTTATTTGACAAACACTTACATAACCCTTCCCATAGGCGAGGCACATGTTTTTACAAATATTAACTCACTCAATCATCTTAACCACCTGATCATGTGGATACTATTATTGCCCCCATTTTAAGATGAGGAAATCAAGGCACAGAATAGCTAATAACTCTGTGTCCAAAGTTACACAACTGTTGTCTCATGGTTTGGGGATTCAGAACCAGACCTCAGCCCAGTGCTTGTAACCACTCTGCTGGCTTTCATCGTAATTTTCAAAGCACTCACAAAAGTCTTGAGAGGCTGTTACTATCATCTCCATTTTCACATTTGGGAAATTTGAGTGCCAAGGAGAAAGGAGATTATCTTACCGCTACACTAAGGAAGCAAAATTCCAATCAGACCCAAGGGCCCCTGACTTCCAGGTTGATTTAGGGACCTCAGATAGACCTAAAGTCCTGGGGCTGATCAGCCCCATGCCTAATCACCCATACCCCACTCCGTTTTCACCTTTCTCAGAATCTGGCTGGGATCTGGTGTTTGGGTTTGTTTACTTGTGTCATATTTACCCCTGGCACCAGCCTGGCTCATCTGGTTTTCCTGGAGCTCTAATACTTTCATGGAGTGGCGCTGATATCGTGGCAATGGGACATGGTTCAGGGATTTCAAGAAATTAATTGGTGGTCATGTTCCAGGCCCTGGAAGGAGTGTCCACATTCACACTCACATGCACACAAATCTTCAGCCGGCCTGGCTGGCATTCTGCCTCCCTTTCCACCTGGTCTGTATGGATCTCCCAGCCTTGGGGAATAAAAGTCTTGAGTGTTGTGTTCTCTCTCTGCTGTGGAAAGAGTAAGGGGGGAGGCGAGGAAAAACAGAAATCAAGATCCATAATCCTAGCTTCTACAAGAGTGAGTGCCCCTACCTAGCAGCTCCTTGAGGGCAAATGTCTTATTGTCTCTCATCCATGTGCCAGCACAGGGCCTAGCACACTGGGAGTGCTGGGTTAGGTAGATTCCAAGCCACTCCCCTGGGAGAGGGCAGGCCCAGGGAGAAAGGAGGAGCCACCGTGATGGAGGTTGTTTGATGGTGCACCTTCTGTGTGGCGATCCCTGCACCTGGTCCCTCTGCATTCTGACAGGTCAGTAACCTGGAGTTTAATCACCATGGGAGGAAACTGGGGTCAGATCAGTCAGGCTACCTGCCACAGAGTCACACTCAAGGCTAGTTGAGGCCAAGGGATGCTCTTCTGTCCGTCCTATTCTGCTTCACCAGAGTCTCCACCATCTCACCAGGGTCAAGGGCTGCCCTCCATACAACAGAAGATTGCAGGATGGTGTCCTAGATACACCAGCATGAGACAGGTGTGTATAGGACACAGGTGCAGAACAGAGGGTGAGAATACCCATGTCCAGAACACTCCTGGATAGATATGCACAGGATAGATATGTGCGGAAAGGGGTGCAGAGTGCTCATGTGTACAAGGCACGTATGGATAGGATACTGTTTTCGTCCCTTTTTGCTGCTATAACAAAATACCCGAGACCGGGTAATTATAAAGAACGTGGCTAGGTGCAGTGGCTCGTTCCTGTAATCCCAGTGCTTTGGGAGGCCAGGGCAGGAGGACTGCTTGAACCTAGGAATTTGATACAGCCTGGGAAACATAGAGAGACCCCATCTCTACAAATAAATAAATAAATAAGCCAGGCATAATGATGTACACCTATAGTCCCAGTTACCTGGGAGGCTAAGGAGGAAGGATCTCTTGAACCCAGGCTTTTGAGGCTGTAGTGAGCTGTGATCGCACCATGGTACTCCAGCCTGGGTGACAGAGACCTTGTCTCAAAAAAAAAAAAGAACAGAAATTTGGAGGCTGGAACATCCACAATCAAGACACCAACATTGGCATCTGATAAAGGCTGCTTTGTTTCCCAGATGGTGCCTCATTGCTGTGTCCTCACATAGCAGAAAGCAGAAAGGCAAGAAAGTGCTCCCTTCAGCCTGGTGCCTTTTTATATGGGTGCTAATTCCATTCATGAGGTCAGAGTCCTCATGAATTGCCTCCGAAAGACCACACTTCTTAATACTGTTGCATTGTGGATTAGGTTTCAACATGGGTTTTGGAAGGGACACTAACATTCAAACCATAGCATATGTGTTGTGAGTTGAGTTCCCTCAGATGTAGGCCCAAGACAAGAATTTGAGTGCAAGTGGTTTATTTGGAAAGTCATCCCAGGAAGCACAGCAGAGGAATGGGAAGTGAGAGCAAGAAGGAAGTGCATCCAATACACTACAGGTGCATTAGTGAGTCCCTGACTGCCATGAGCAACTGGGGCTCAGTCCCATTGGACTGAGTACTGTTCCACCTGAGATCTGAGGCCACAGAGCTCTCACTATTTATCCGCCAGCACCTGTTTGTCATTGTTGGGGGCTATTCCTGCACTTCTAGCCTGTCCTCTGCACATGTCAAGCATGTTCCTTAAGCAGAGTGAGACCTGCTTACAGTAGGAAGCCGTAGGCACGCATGGAGAAGGTGAGTGTTGAGGGAATATGAGTGGGGCCCACAGCGTTTGCTAGAAGACACAGAGTACAGGGCACGTGTGTTCAGGACCCAAAAGGACACAGTACAGGGCACAGGCAGAAGACAAATGATTGGATTACTGGCCTTGCTTGTCTAGGCTAAAGGAAGAGCCTGCTGAAAGGAGGTAAGGAGCTGCAGAGAGATGGTAATGGGCCCCCTGAGCCAACTGGTGCTCTGTCCCCATGCCCCCTCTGGTTAGAGTGACTGCATGTGCTTGTGTGGTAGGAAAGGCAGGTTGAAGGGTTCGGGAGCTCTAACAGTGCAGACACTTCTCTCTTCTAGACCTCCACCTCATCTGTATTTTACAAAGGGGATGAGGGCTCAGGTGCCCAGAATAGGAGGGGAGGCAGCCCAAAAGGATGGGAAGAGCCCTGGACTAGGAGTTGGACACAAAGGCAGAGCTAAATGTCATCTCCGAGCCCACTTGCCCCATCTGAGGAATGGGAATAGCTCCACCCTCGTGTCTCAGGGCAGATTACCTACCACACTTGCATCTTGTTTTCCCTGTCTGCATAGTGAGGGTCACAGAACTCCTCTCTCTCCTATGGACTTCACAGAGAGCTATTGTAAGGAGCAGATATGGTCATGAAAAAGAAAACACTTGAAAGAGGGTAAAACACTTAAATACACAGGTGGGGGGATTATGGAAAAGGCTTGGAAGGGGAAATTAGGGGACTTGGCTTCTGCTCTAGCTCTGCTGCTATATTGTTAAAAAAGACACTCAAAATAATTGTGCTTTCAATAAAACAGAACTTATTTCTCTCTCATGGAAAAATCTACTTGGCAGCTCAGGCTGACATGCTGGTTCACCAACCACAAGAGACCCGGGCTCCTTCTGCATTGTTGCTCGGCCATCTTGCACCTTGCTGTTCCAGCTCCAGCCCTTGTCACTACATTGCATCAGCAGAAGGAGGATGTGGGGAAGTAGGAGGCACCTTCTTCCTTCTTCTTAAGGGAAGACATTGAACCTTAACCTAGAAATTGAACTCATCACTTCCATTTGTATCCTATTGACCAGGATTTAATCACATGGCACACTTACCTGCAAATGAGTCTGAAAAATGCAGTCTTTTGCCATATGTGAAAGGGAGAAGGGATATTGAGGGACAGCCAGCAATTTTTGTCATAGCCACTGACTAGCCTCATTTATGTATTTTATAATTTTATACTTATATAAAATTTTATATATATGTTTATTTCTTTTGAGACTGTTGCCCAGTGTGAGGTGCAGTGGCTTGATCTTGGCTCACTGCAACCTCCGCTTCCTGGGTTCAAGCAATTCTCCTGCCTCAGCCTTCTGAGTAGCTGGAATTACAGGCACGCACCACTATACCTGGCTATTTTTTGTGTTTTTAGTAGAGGTGGGGTTTCACCATATAGCCCAGGCTGGTCTCGAACTCCTGGGCTCAAGCAATCCACCTGCCTCAGTCTCCCAAAGTGCTGGGATTACAGGTGTAAGCCACCATGCCTGGCCAAATTGTATACACTTTTATATAAAATTATATTTATATAAAATACATGAGCCTGCTTCCCATATATGTATATTATATATATTTATATGTGTAAAATTTATATATATAAAATACACGAGCCCACTTGCCACATATATATATATGCACCAGGCTTGTGGTATAAAGTAAGATTTTGAACCAGCTGATTGCGAATGGACCCTCTTACTTGCGGGCCACAAGCCCTGAGAGGTCAAGCGTGAGGTCTTTCTCGCTCACCACTGTGTTCAAAGCATGCATTGCAGAGTCTGGCCCAGGGAATCCATAGTAGTATTGGCTGCCCATGGGTGAAGAATGGCTGGCCATTCTGGCTTTCGTATTTGCTAGTGACATTTTTCCCCACTCAGGGGTTTAAGTTCTTTCCCTTTGCATGCCTCCTGTCCCCACCTCCCGTCATCGTCATGTGCCAAGCCTTTCTGAGCCCATGAAGTAAAATGTGCTCTGAGCCAGAATCCTAAGAGTTGGATTAAAAATAAATGAAAATGCATCAAAACAAGTTAACCACAAGAAATGGCTTTCCAGGGTAATTAGGTGTCAGCGCTGGAAGCCAAAGACAGAGCGCCAGACTCTAACTGCCAAGTTCCGCTCCTGTCAGCACCACTGCTGTACAGGGCAGAGAACACCCTAGGCCTAGACTGAGCCCCTGCTTGAGTCTCCACCAGTTCAAGACAACAGGCAAGACCCTCCCCACGAAGGTGAGGGAGGATGGGTCCTAATCTAGGTCCGTCACTTATTGGCTGAAGTGATCCTAGGGAAATCCACGCCTCTCTGAGCCTCAGTTTTCACATCCGTAATAAGTTGTGAATAATAGGATCTATGTGTAATCGTCTACAAAATGCAGATAATGATGGTACCAACCTCGTAGGCAGAGGTCCCCAAACTTTATCAATTCATGACACCCTTAGCATCTTAGTAATTTTTCACAGTGCACCAGGCCCCCTAGAAGGTGTAGCAGTTGTTTATTAGGCAGTTAGCTTCAAACGACATAATAATAGTTGTTGGCATAATATCTGACAGACGTCATTGCGTTTCCCTCAAAATTTTAGGTATGTTTCAGTGCCTCTGTGAGTTTTCTATAGTGCCTCAGGGTGCCTCAGTGCACAGTTTTGGAATTGCAGTCATCGGGTTTTAAAGATGAAATGAGGTTATGCATGTCAAGGACTTAGTGTGGTGCCTGGTCTGGAGGAGGAGATCAATAATGCTGGTTGTTCTAAATCATCCTTCAAGTCTTATCCTGAGATCACTTTCTCTCTAGTTCTTTGTGTGTCTCCTCCGACTGCCACAGTGACATCTGTCTGATACCGAGCCAACAATACTTCCGGCCTCCTGCTCTTGCCACCTCATGGTCTCCACTTGCCACCTTCCCTCTGGGCACCTCCAGGCCTGTGGCCCCACTTCCACGCAGTGCTGTCTTCCGGCACAGAATTGTGAGTCTCACTTCATCATCCCTCCATAAGTCCACACACTTGCCAGGATCTCTTTGTAGCGGAGCATACATCCTTGCCCCTTAGCTTTGGGCTTGGCCATGTGACTAACTTTGCCCAATGGCACATGGCAAAAGCAACAGTGTGACAGTTCTGAGCTAAGCCTCAAGAGGCTTCCCATGGTTCCACTTGCTCTCTTCTCCTTTGCCAAGAGAATGTGCCCCAGCAGCCCTGTGATTCCAGGAGAAGGACAGGAGATCTGTGGAGCAGACTCAGAGCTGCAGATCTGCAAACATGAGCAATAATAAATGATTGTTGTTTGAAAGTATGGAGTTTTAGAGACATTTGGTACACAGTGTTCTAGTGGTAATCCAACCTCCCAATCTGTGGCAAATTCAACATGTCTGAGGGAAGATCTGATTGGATCCTCTGGTCACCACCCAAAATGCAGCTGCTCAAAAACCAGTCACCCATGAGCCAATGATCACTCTCCTGTCCAGTCTGTAGATGGCTGCTTTGGGCTGGGGCACTCATCTCGGCTCCAGGCAGTTGTCCCATGATTACAGGGCATGTGACAAAGCCTGGTGGCCTGTTTGAAGGAATCATCTCTGGCCCCTTGTGTTCAGAAGGGGTATAAATGTGGCAGAAAGGAGTTTCTCTGATTCTCTTGGGTTCTGAAAAGTAACAGCTGAACTACGAGAAATAGCACATAAGACTTTGTCTGCATGTGGCAGTCAGAACGATTCTCAAGCTGTAAACGCCAGGATATAAGAAATGTGACATTCCTTACAACTCGATTTAGTAACTATTTTGAGCCTCATTATGCCTAAGAGGGAAAAGACGAGGCCCAAGTTCACACAGACAGTTTGGCAGAGCTGGAGTTAGAACCCAGATATCCTGGCTCCTTATTACAATATCCCTTTTCCTGCCTCGTCAGTCTTATACTTGGAAGGAACTCCAGGTCCCATCTCCAAGCCAGTAGAGCCCCTACTCCAGTCTCTTTGATCATCTGGGCTATGCTTCTGCCCTCCATTGACTGAGCACCCACTGCTTGGAAAAATTCTAAACAACACCTTCCTCCTACTGAATCCCAGTCTGCTTCCCTTTGTCCTATACCCACTGTATAGGACAAAGGTAGTGATGTACAGCTACCGCTGTAGTGATGCAGGTGAACCCTAAAATTGGGGCTCAGTCAGGGGAGGTTCTTGGCTTCATAAAGGAAAGAATTCAAGAGTGAGCCAACAAAGTAAAGTGAAAGCAAAGCAAGTTTATTAGAGCAACAGAGTACAGGAAATGACTGCTCCATAGACAGAGCAGGGCTACCCCATCAGCACAGTAGCCTTTGTGGATTGCTGGCTGACTATATTAATAGCTACTTTTTATTATATGCTAAATAAAGGGTAGATTATTCACAAATTTTCAAGAAAAGAGGTGGGGTATTCCCCAGACTGGGGGTTCCTCCCCTTTTAAACCATGTAAGGTAAGTTTCAGGCATTGTCATGGCATTTGTAAACTGTCGTGGTACCGGTGGGAGTGTCTTTTAGCATCCTAATGAATTATAATTAACATTCCGTGAGGAATGAGGGCAACTAGAGGTTGCTTTCATTGCCATCTCGATCTTAGTTGGTTTTGGCTGCCTACTTCATGGCATCCTGTTTGAACAGATCCTGTTTTGATCAGTGGAGTTGTGACTGGGATTGTAACCAGTGCTCGGAGAACAAGTCTTGCTGATCTCCTACCTCACTAGCTCTGTCTTCTGGTGCTACAATAAATATACACTCTTTTCTCTTTAACTTATAAACACTTACTGTAATTTTAAGTTCTATAAATTCTATTGCATTCTTTTTCAAATCTGCCTGTTAAAAAGTGTCTCTTTTGGCCGGGCACAGTGGCTCATGCCTGCAATCCCAGCACTTTGGGAGGCTGAGGCAGGTGGATCACTTGAGGTCAGGAGTTTGAGATCAGCCTGGCCAACATGGTGACACCCCATCTCTACTAAAAATACAAAAATTAATTGGATGTGGTGGTAGGTGCCTATAATTCCAGCTACTTGAGAGGCTGAGGCAGGAGAATTGCTTGAACCTGGGAGGCAGAGGCTGCAGTGAGCCGAGATTGCACCATTGCACTCCAGCCTGGGTGACAAGAGTGAAACTCCTTCTCAAAAAAAGAAAAAGAAAAAAGTGTCTCTTTTTTTGTATGATTTTGATTCCTTCTTGTATGCCTCTTCTTTTCAAAATACTTTTCTTTTGAGACAGGGTGGAGTGCAGTGGTGCAATCAAAGCTCACTACGGCCTCGACCTCTTGGGCTCAAGCAATCCTTCTGACTCAGCCTCCTGAGAAGCTGGTACTACAGGCACGTGCCACCACACCTGGCTAATTATTGTATTTTATTTTGTTTAGATAAGGGGTCTTGCTATGTTGCCCAGGCTGGTCTCAAACTCCTGGCCTCAAGTAGTCCTCCTGCATTGGCCTCTCAAAATGTTCGGATTACAGGTGTGAGCCACCATACCTGGCCTCAAAATACTTTTAATTATCTTCATCTGAAGTTCTTGGGGGAAGGGGGTGAATGGTGTCTGTTGACTCTCATTTATGGTGAATGGCTTCCTTGTGTGTTCTTATATGAGTTCATCTTCAGGGGAGCTCTATCTGAGGATATTTTGTGTAGCCAGATTGAGGGCAAGTTTCCCTAAACTCGGCTGAGTTTGCTTTGCCAGTCATTTCACATCTTTATCTGGGGTCACTATGCTAATTCTTGGTTTGGAGTTTCTAGTGCATGTGAATAGAATAAATTTATATATATACATTTGCAGTCTCAGTTCACTGCAACCTCCGCCTCCTGGGTTCAAGAAATTCTCCTGCTCCAGCCTCCTGAGTAGCTGGGATTACAGGCGCCCACAACCACACCCGGCTAATTTTTGTATTTTTAGTAGAGACGGGGTTTCACCATGTTTAGCCAGGCTGGTCTCGAACTCCTGGCCTCAGGTGATCCGCCCACCTCGGCCTCCCAAAGTGCTGGTATTACAGGCGTGAGCCATCACGCCTGCCCAATAAATTTATATTTTAAAAGACCTATGTGAGAATAGAGTCTACATATTTTCATCGTAGCATTAATTTGATTGTTTGTTTCCAATGACTACTAGGATGTCAGCTCCAGGAAAGCAGGGCCTTTGTTTCTCTGATTTTGGTTGATAACCCCAGTGTCTAGAGCAGAACTCGGCACACAGTAGACATTCAATAAGTGTTTAGCGAAAGAGAGAATTGAATACCTGCTTCACGGTGTGATGATGTCAGTGGCATTTGAACCAGAGTAACTCCATCTTGAATAGGGGCTGGGTAAAATGAGGATGAGACCCACTGGGCTGCATTCCCAGATGGTTAAGGCATTCTAAGTCACAGGATGAGATCAACACAAGATACAGGTCGTAAAGACCTTGCTGATAAAACAATTGCAGTAAAGAAAGTGGCTAAATCTCACCAAAACCAAGATGGCCACAAGAGTGACCTCTGGTCATCCTCACTGCTACACTCCCACCAGCGCCATGACAGGTTACAGATGCGATGACAACATCAGGAAGTTACCCTATATGGTCTAAAAAGGGGAGACATGAATAATCTACCCCTTGTTTAGCAGATCATCAAAAAATAACCATAAAAATGGGCAACCAGCAGCCCTCAAGGCTGCTTTATCTATGGAGTAGCCATTCTTTTATTCCTTTACTTTCCTAATAAACTTGCTTTCATTTTACTGTATGGACTCCCCCTGAATTCTTTATTGCATGAGATCCAAGAACCCTCCCTTGGGGTCTGGGTTGGGACCCCTTTCCTATAACAATGGGAAGAATAAATGGTGTGTCAGGACTGTGTTTGCCTGCAAGTAGCAGAGTGTTCCATTAGACATCGGGTCTGTTTTCTCATATAGATGCTGTTGCCGAGTCAGGGGTGCAATGATTTCTAATGGCTCTGTGATTTTCTTGGGCTTTGTCTTATGGTCGCAAGACAGTTACCATAGCTCCAGACATTACATCCACATTCAAGGCAGAAGGAAAAGGGAGAAAGTAGGAGTAAAAGGGAAGCAGCAGTGACATTTTCCCTTTTGTTAGGAAGGTAAAAGTTTTTCTGGAAGCCTAACAGCAAATTGCTGCTTTGATCTCATTTGCTGGAAATGGGTCACATGGGGATTCCAGAAACAAGGAAACTTGGAAAGTGAGCATTTCCTTTATCTGGACTCTATAGATAAGTAAATGAGGACAGGGACTTGGGACACCCGTGGAGGTATATGCCAAATGAGACATATACATAGTTTATATGTAAAGCACAAAGCAAACCCTTAGAAAAGAGTGCCTATTTTCATAATAACCATATTGTTGCCATTTAAAGCTTTGCATTCTCTGTGATCCTGTTGGCATCACATATTCTTGGCTTCTGGAACAGCAGGCTCCAAGGTACTCGGACCCATAATGGTCTCCCTCCCTTCCTCCTTGTTCTGTTCAGAGCACTAAAGCCCTTTAAAAAAAAAAAAAAAGCCAGATTACATTTTTCAATGTGAGCTACTTCCTGCTCTCATTAACTCCATCTTCAGTGATTTGGCCAGAACCTGCTGCCAGTCTGAAAGAGTTGGGGGAATGTACAAGTCAAAGATCCCTCGGGCCCAGAACCAGGTCAGTGTCAAGGTCACTCCTAAGAACACTGAGATGAAAATAGCAGAAGAGCCCAGCCCGAGTCTTGGGCAGACCTTGGAGTGGCTGAGAAAGGAGCTGGTAAGGTTTTGCATTGCTTTTCCTTGATGCCCCGACTACATATTTTCCAAAGATCTCTGGTTTTCCTTCCCGGGTCCCCCCTGGGGCAGAGGCTGCAGGCTACGGTATGGACCCTGCAGTCTCCCCTCTGGGACCTACCACACAATGCACAATTGTGATCTCAGGTTCAGGGATAAGTAGGTCGTGGCCTATATGGGAGGTGCTGGGTGTGGTGCTGGCCAGACTGGTTTTAGAATGACACTGAGTCCTCCGTGTGTGCTGAGTCCTCTGTGTGGCTCTAGCAGGGGATTTATCTCTTTGAGCCTCAGTTTCCTTATCACAAAATGGGAATAACAATAGTACCAATATCATATGGGGTATTGTAAGGATTCACTGAAGAGATGCTTGTAATCCTCTTAATGAATACTTGGCACCGTGGTGCTGGCTATTATAACCCTGACCCAGATGGACATGCGTACACCCAATGTCTTAGCCTGGGTCCCCTAGAAAGCAGAGGCTTGGACAAGGATTGAGAAACTAGCACTTTATTTGGAAGTACAAGCCAAGGGTGGTGATAGGGAGGAACATAGGGTGTGGCAGCAGAGGCCAATGCTATGCCAGGCAATTACGCCAGACATTGTATTACCAAGCAGCCTACGGCTTCAGAAGTTGCCTTAAGGAGGCCCAGTGGGTGTCTCAGCAGCTGAGATGCTCTGCAGGGGTTGAAGGAGGAACTGCACATTGGGGGAGAGAGAACGAGAGGAAATTCATCTGCCCAGCTCGTTCCTGTCTCTCATTTCCCATTGGCAAGGGCCTCCCCCATGGAGCACTAACTCTCCTGACCCGATGTTATGTTACTTGGTCCTGTGGTTGCTGCTCAGGAAGCCAGGCTTATGCCTTTCATTATGGTATTTTCTCCAAGTCCGAAAAAAGAGGGGTGCCCCCAAGTGTGTGGGGACACCAGCCAGGAGAGAGGAGGCAGCTCAGGGAACCTCAGAAGAGGTTTGTTTCTCAATATACACACCTCTCATCCTGGGGAGAGACAGACAGGATTGTCCAAAAATGACCTTTCTGGGTTGCCAGGCAACAGGCCAGCTGGGACCCAACCCTGTCATCACCCCAGAGGAAGGGCTGACCCAGTAGGGTTTCTCATGGGACCAGGGAATTCCAGCAGCAGGGACTGCAGCTTCCCACAGTCAGCAGGCATCCAGCACTGGGCAGCTGTCTTCCTTATGCTCCCTGAAACTGTGGGTGCCTGGATGCCTCATCACCACCTCCGTGCTGGGAACCCCACTGTGGTCTTGTAGGCGCATACCCAGAAATATGTGCAGGAGGAAAACCCTAAAATCGAGAAAACACAGAGTGAATGTTTTCTGAGGAATTAGGAAAAAATGGGCCCAGGACCACTCGCTCTGCAGCCTGAGTCGTCCCAGTGTTCTGAGGGAGGCCGACTACACCTTTGCTTCACGTCTTTCCTTTTTTTTTTTTTTTTTGAGATGAAGCCTCACTCTGTCGCCCAGGCTGGAGTGTAGTGGCACGATCTCGGCTCACTACAACCTCCGCCTCCTGGGTTCAAGTGATTCCCCTGCCTCGGCCTCCCTAGTAGCTGGGATTACAGGCGCATGCCACCACGGCTGGCTAATTTTTTTGTATTTTTAGTAGAGACCGGGTTTCACCATGTTGGCCAGGCTGGTCTTGAACTCCTGACCTCAGGCAATCTGCCCACCTCGGCCTCTCAAAGTGCTGGGATTACAGGTGGGAGCCACTGGGCCTGGCCTCACATCTCTCTTTCTAGCTACATATTCTCTTGGCAGTGTTACTCATGCTTGAGTAGAGGATGCAGACTTGGTCTTCTTACTTGTAATCAGCTTGTCACAAAAATGAAAACACTATTTTTAGTGGGGAAATAATGTTCATAAGTATCTCTTGCAAAGAGAGACAGAGAAAGAGAGAGGCTGAGAATCTGTATATCTAACCATGTGTTGCCCCGACCAGCTTTGGAAGGAAAAACAGAAGCATTTGCAGTGGCTGCCTCTGGAGAAGGACGCTTGAGTTGAGGGATAAAGTGAGGTGGGTGGGAGAGACTTTTAAATATATGTCCTTTTGTAGCTTTTAAATTTTCTATCATGTGTTAAGAATTACTTAGTCAAAAAATAGAATTTTAACATTTTTAAAGAGAAAGCGAACTTTGGGAGCTGAGTTGAGAGGATCGCGTGAGCCCAGGAGTCTGAGACCAGCCTGGGCAACATGGCAAGACATTGCCTCTACAAAAAATAGCCGGGCATGGTGGTGTGCACCTGGAGTCCCAGCTACTCGGGAGGCTGAGGTGGGAGGATCAGTTGAACCCAGGAGCTCGAGGCTGCAGTGAGCCGTTATTGCACCACTGCACTCCAGCCTGGGCAACACAGTGAGACCCCGCCTCAAAAATAAATAAATAAATAAATAAACAGAAAGAAAAAGAGAGAAAATGTATGGGAAAAAATTCTCAGGAAAAAATGGGAGAAAGAATGGAGATGGCTGAAGATGACAGGAGAGTTCTAATGCAGCAGTTCTCAAACTTTTGGGTCTTAGGAACCCTTTATGCCCCAAAAAATTATTAAGGCCACCAAAAAGCTTTTGTTTACGTGAGTTATATATAACAATACTGACTGAATTAGAAGCCAAAGCTGAGACATTTTTAATATATTTACTAATGCATTCTAAAATAATAACAAATTCATAATATGTTAATAAAACATTACTTATTCAAAATAACTATATTTTTCAAAGCAAATATTTAGTGGGAAGAGTAGCCCCATTTTACATTGTTGCAAATTGCTTTAATGTCTGTCTTAATAGAACACAGCTGGATTCTCATAGCTGCTTCCTGCATTCAGTCTGTTGAGACATTACATGTCATTAGCTTCTGGAAAACTCCATGGTATGCTCATAAGAAAATGAAAGCAAAAAAAGGAAAATAACGTCTTACTATTGTAACCAAAGTAGTTTTGACCTCGCTGACCCCTTGAAAGGATTTTCCCATGGGCAAATTCATTCAGTCCTCATGAAAGCCTTGAAAAGTAAGCAATTTGCTTTCTGCTTTGCAGAGCAAGAAACTGAGGCATTGGTGGATACGGCTTCTGTGAGGCTGTGCGAATCACAAGTGGGCTGGTCTCCGATGAGACAGCGAGGGAAGGGGCTTGATGGGGAAACATCCAGGGCTCCACGCATCCCCTCACAGGCTCCTTCTCTCTCCTAGTCTGAGATGCAGATTCAAGATCAGAGTCTCCTGCTCACACTGAGGCATCTTCACAGTGTCCTGGAGGAGCTGCGTGCGGACAGCGCCCACTGGGAGGACGCCAGGTCCAGCGGAGGGACATCCCCCATCAGAGCTCGAGCGGGCTCCGAAGGCAGGGGCTGCCAGCCGGTTTGCTCAAGGGGTCTGGCCCAGCTCCTCCGAGGGGAAGACAGCAGACGAAGCTCTCTCCCTTAACTGGACGGAGATGACACTGGGCTTTAACACTCTCCCCATTAGTCTAACCTTTCACTGTGATATTTCAGGGGCAGAGTGTTGGAATGGGAGTCAGAAAGCCAGGGCTCTGGGTTCATTTCTGCCCTCATCTGCTGTGCATCCCTGGATCTGTCACTCAGCTTCTCTGTGTCTCTGGTTCCTTTTCTGTCACTTGGGATTTCTTGGTGAGGCACACATAAGGTATTGGATGTGAACACACTTTTCGACTGAAAACACAAATGTGCTCTAGTGCTCTGGCAAGCACCATGGCAGTAACCCTATCCTTGGGAATTTTTCACAAGGCAATTGTTAAAACAAAGAACTAGATGTGCAGTAATGGTTACCAAGTGTTGCTATGGTGAAAATTCCAACCCCTGTGTAGTGACTTAGTGGCTGTTTTCTGTCTTCCCAGGAAGCCTTCCCATTCCCCTTCATCTGATAACATATTAGGCCCTGTAACCACCCTGGCCATAGGCATGGGTATATTACCAGGCCTGGCCAATGATATAATTCATGGTTGCCCTAAAAAGATGATTGGCCCAATGGATGGTCATGTGAACCAACAGAGCCAGTCACCGACCTTCCCTGAGATTGCTACCTGGAAGCTCTTTCTATTACACTCAGGCTGAGGCTGCTGGTGGCCATGTTCCTACCAGGTAAAGAAGACCTGTCTGCAGTAGGAAGGAAAGAGGCTAATCTCCAAAGAGAAGTAGAGAGAGGGCCACACAACAGATGGACAGAGAGGAAGAGCGCTGGCTCTTTTTGGTCCCTGGTTTTAGGTCCTAGTTTTGTGAGTTACTCCTGCATTCTTTCCAGGGACCGAAGCCAGTCAATTTCACCCCCCAACACAGCCACACACATCAATTTGTTTTTGGTTAAGCTGATTTGAGCAGTTTCCCTCATTTGCAGCTAGAATGGTCTTGAGGAATATGATCCAGATGTTCAAAGAATCAAAGAGGAGAAATCAATATGAAAATGGCATTTCATTCAATGAGGGTTTGTGACAACAACCTCCGTAACAGCAGGCAACCAGGCTTGTGATACAGCAGAGACACTCAGTTGTGTGGGGTGCTGCAGTCATAACTGAAAAATTGTATCTGCCTATAAGAAAGACTAAAACAGAAAAGGTGAAAATAAAAAAGTCATGGTGTTAAGATGGTCTGATGATCGGTAGCCCTTTTTGTTTTTGAAAATCTACCTGTATGTTGCTAGAACATTGTTTTTATGGCTTTGAAAAAGTAAATCGATTGCATGTAGAGGCAGAGTGGAGGGGGTGCATTATAAGTATAATGTTTGTAGTCAGATCAACCTGTGATTTTTGTATTTGGTAATATAAATGATACCTGCTCTGTGATGCTGGAGCTGGGTCCCTGCAAAGCACCTTTTGGTGTTACCAGCTGCTCCCTGTTAGAGTTTGTTAGGCTTTGCCAATATACAGCATGGAGTTAGACTACAAGTCTAGAGGAGAGAAAAGGGGCTTGCTCCTTCTTCTTGTTTCCCTGTGGGCTTCCTGTTCCTATGAGCATCTCCCAGCAATGTTTCTTCACAACAGGCAGCAATTCCTTCATGAAGCACCAGACTTCTCCAGGATCCAGGTTCCAGACTCCTGGGGCCCCTTCCAGGAGCTCAGAGACATCAGCTTCAGATGCCAGTCCCTCCTCCCCTGAAGTGTGGGTCCCTGCCTTACCTACCTGGCCCTTTCCTGAGCTCAGAGACACCAGCCCCAGCTGAGCTGAGTTCCTTTCTCAGATAGCTGAATTTAAACTCCAGGGAATTCCTCCTGTAAGTTTTAAAGTTTGATAGTTTCTGCCTCTTTTCTTTGTTCCCTCAGCCCTGGAGATGGCAGATGCTTGCTGCAATTCCTACCTTAAAGTTCTTTTTATAACCTTTCAGTCACCCAGTTAACAACTTTATACCTAGTTAGCAATTCTTTATATTAAATTTTCTGTGTTAAAATAACTGGTGTGGTTTCTGTCTCCTACCTGTCCCAGACTGACACAGCTTTTTGCTATTATTACCAATTGCCACTGTAACCATTCTTGGTTACACTGGAAAGGCTAATGAATGGCACCTTATTATTGCTGCATGATTATGTTCTGATTTGTGAAACTATGACTATTACAAATGGACAAGCTGATTAGCCACTATTATCTTGAGAGACATCTGCCTGGCCATGCAAAGTAGAAATGACATTGCTCTCCCATGCCCGATGCTAATCACTAGCACCCTCTGCCTCTCCCTGATTTCCACATTTGGGCCCAAAGACCAAAAACCCCTGCCAACCCCTCCATCTCCAATCTGGGAAGATAGACCTAGAGCTCCAGAACCTGCCCTTCTGGTGGGATATTTGTTGTTCTCCAAGACCCTACATTTGGAACCAACGTTCACTTCCTGATCCTAGGTCAGAGAAAGCCAAAGCTGAGCCCAGATGCTGGACAAGGAGTTGGGATGGAAATTACATCTTCAGCGTTGGTCCTAGAGGTCTGGGTGGGAAATCATGGCCATGCAGGACAGTGAGCACCAGAGGGAGCATGTGGATCATGGTCTCAGGAAAACCCAGGGTTTTCTCTGCTAAGGCAGCAAAAACAGGACTGCACACCTAAGCCTAGCATCCAGGATGAAGAGAGGAGGGGACAGAGATGGAAAAAGGATTCATGAGGTCAGAAGCTAAAAATTTAGGAGCAAGAACAGTTCAAGATGTGAAACCTAGAGTGAGTCAGGGCAGGCAAGGCAGGGCTTACTTACACTGTGACTGATTAGAAATGATCTAATCTCTCACACCTTTACATGAGAGCCAGCTTCCAGTCCTGGGTCAGCTGTGACACCTTACAGAGCCCATGTGTTGTGGTGTATATTGATGTGTAACAAACTGCCTCCAAACTTAAACACAGCAATCCCTTTATTATTGCAACAGCCATTTATTATTGTTGTAAATTATGTTTCCCATAGTTCTGGGCTCAGCTGAGCGGTTCTTGGCTTTGGGTCTCTCCAATGATTGCAGTCAGGTGGTGGCTGCAGCTCGATTTATCTCAAAGGCTTATTTGTTGCCCTCTGGCAGGTGATGCTGGCCTCAGCTGAGGCTGTAAGATGGAATGCCTATACATGACCCTCCAGGTGGCTGGGCTTCCTCACAGCACTGTGTCAAGGGTTGGGCTTTACTTTCCAGTCTTTCTGCATCTTTTCAGGTCCACTCCCACTGCTAAAGATTTTACTCTCCTGCTATTTCTTTAAGTCGCAGTTTATAGAGAGGGAATCTGATTGGTCAGCTTAACTTTTGACACCTGGACATATCATAGGTTATTGGTATAAAGGAGGTTTATTTTTGTCTTCCACTTCTTCCTCCTTCTTCTTCCGTCTCTTCTCCCTCTTTCTCCTTTTCCTCTTCATTATCATCATCCTCATCATGATCATCATACATAGGTAATTAAAAGGGAGGACTTTGACATCAGGCTGCCTAGGTTTGAATACCAGATCTGCATCTTATCAGCTCTCTAACCTTGGGCATATAGCATAACTTTTCTGTGCTTCAGTTTGTTCTTCTATAAAGTGGGGATAATAACAGAAATTACCTCATAGGACTATTGAGCAAATGCAATGAGTCAACATGTTCCTGGAACATAAGCAGTGCTCAGTAAATCTTAGCAATTATTATTAATAATGACAGCTACCATTTTATTTTATTTTACTTTAAGTTCTGGGATACAAGTACAGAACATGTAGGTTTGTTACATAGGTATACATGTGCCATGGTGGTGTACTGCACCTATCAACCCGTCATCTCGGTTTTAAGCCCTGCGTGCATTAGTTATTTGTCCTAATACTCTCCCTCCCCTTGCCCCCCACCCCTGACTGGCTCTGGTATATGTTGTTCCCCTCCCCTGTGTCCATGTGTTCTCATTGTTCAACTCCCAGTTATGAATGAGAACATGCAGTGTTTGGTTTTCTGTTCCTGTGTTAGTTTGCTGAGGATGATGGCTTCTAGCTTCATCCATGTCCCTGCAAAGAACATGATCTCATTCGATTTTATGGTTGCATAGCACTCCACTGTATATATGTACCACATTTTCTTTATTGTGCATTTGGGTTGGTTCCATTGATGTGCATTTGGGTTGGTTCCATGTCTTTGCTATTGTAAATAGTGCCGCAATGGACAGCTACCTTTTTTTTTTTGAGATGGAGTTTCGCTGTTGTTGCCCAGGCTGGTGTGCAATGGCATGATCTCAGCTCACCGCAACCTCCACCTCCCGTGTTTAAGCGATTCTCCTGCCTCTGCCTCCCAGGTAGCTGGGATTACAGGCGTGCGCCACCACACCCAGCTGATTTTGTATTTTTAGTAGAGACGGGGTTTCTCCATGTTGGTCAGACTGGTTTCGAATTCCCGACCGCAGGTGATCTGCCTGCCTTGGCCTCCCAAAGTGCTGGGATTACAGGCCTGAGCCACTGCGCCTGGCCAACAGCTACCATTTTTAAAGTCAGGATAGTTTAGTGATCGTAAGTACAGCCTGGAGCCTCACTGCCTGTGTCCAAATCCCAGCTCTACAATATACTGATTGTGTGCCCTTGGGCAAGTCATTAAACTCTCTATGCCTTGATTTTATCATCCGTAGAATGGGGATAATAGTATTGCCTATCTCCTGGGGTTTTTGTGAGGAATAAATGAGTAAATCCATGGAAAACACAACCGTGCTTGTCATCTAACAACAACTATGTGTCATGTAAACTATTCATTATCATTAGTAATCATCTGCCCTAAATACCAGCACCACACACGGCGCTGTAAAGATCTTAGTGCACTGAACACACTCAACATCTCTGCAAGGGTGATATTAAATCTCCACTTTATGGATGAAGGAACTGAAGTTTAGTGGAGCTAAGTTGCCCCCCAAAAAAGCACAATGAGTAAATGGCAGCAGTGGCATTGAATCTCAGGCCTGTCTTCTGTCTAAGCAGGGCTCTTACTATTATATGATGTTGCTCTTCTGATCAGCCACAGTGGGGGAGTGGTGCCATGAAGAGAGGAAGCAGTGATGTCAGGCTCATAGGATCCCTGCTCCCTCCTTCTGGCAGGGTCTGGGGCAAGACAGTCTCTAATGTGTGTGAAGGCAACTCTAGGACAACACCTCTGTTATCTCTCCAGTAAGTAGGCAGACACAGAATCTGGTGATCCCAGTAATGCACACCCATCCCTGCTCCCAGCATATCTTGAGGCCCAGTTCTCTCCTGTCTCTGCCACCCTGCTTTGTTTTGCCCAAACCCTCCCCAGGTCATGGGGACAGCTCCTATTTCACTGGGCTGAGGTCAGTTTCACTGGATCAAAATCAAGGTGTTGGCCAGACTGTACTCCCTGCTGACTCTAAGAGAGAATTCCTTCCTTGCCTCTTCCAGTTTCTCGTGGCTGCTGGCAGTCCTTGACTTAGGCTGCATAACTTCAGTTTCTGTCTCTGTCTTCTCATAGCCTTTTGCTCTGTGAGTGTTAAATCTCCCTCTGTCTACCTCTTATAAGGAATCACATGATTGCATTTAGGGCCCACCTGGATAACCCAGGATAATCTCCGCATGTCAAGATTCTTAACTTAATCACATCTCTAAAGACTTTCACCTGCCTTTCTTTCCATATAAGGTAACATATAAGGATTAGGATGCGGAGAGGGAATTTCCCTCTCATTCCTTCTGGAAAGCATTCTCTGGCCAATGTGCAGGGCTAAGAAGAATCTCACATAGCTGCAGATTACCTTGGTCGCTGTCAGAAGAAGAACTTATGTTTGTTGAACACCTACAATGCACAGGCATTGTAACAGACCTGACCAGTGAGTACGTGTTAATATTTCCATTCGACAGCGGAGAAAACTGTGACCCAAGGAAGCAAAAGCAGGACAGTTGCAAACAGATGAAACTGAGGGTTCAAAGTTGGGCTTCTGACAAACTTGTTTAGATTTCGTACGCGCGCCATCGAAGACTACGGTAATTACGCTGTGTGTGGCCGCCACCTAGTGTCCATACAGAGCAATCCTTCCGTGAATCAGCCCGTTCCGGGTTGCAGGACTGGCTCACTCACCATCAGCTTTCCCGTTGTGGCGCATCTTACTGGGAGGGCCATGGCCCCAGAGGCTTTCTGGCTCCAGAGATCTGCGTTTGAACTTTAGCTCTGCCGTTGACAGAGTGATCTGGGGCCTCCTTCTCTGATCCTTCACTTATCCTTAACTCTAAAGTAAAAATGACACCTCTCAGAGCTGTGGAGAGGATGTTGGAAAGTGCTTTGTAACAAACTGGGAATAACTGGAGAGAATGGAAAGAAACATTGTCTGCAGTTGACCAGGCTTGGATTCATTTTAAAAAATACTTAATGTGCACCTGCTGTGTGTCAGGCACTGTTCTGGATGTGGGAATGTCGCAACAAATAAAACAGACAAAATTTATGTTTTTGTGTAGTTAATAGTCCAGCATTCCAGTTTTTGAGTCATTCATTCATTCATTTACAATATGTTTCTGGCACTCCTGTGTGCAGCACTTTCCCAAGCAATGGGCACAGAGGGTATCTAATATGGCTGGAACCCAGGAAGCCAGGGGAACAGGATGGAGCAAGTCCAGATTTGTGGGGCCTGAAGTTTATACGATTTAGGGTATCAATCATATACCCTAAGAGAAAGAATGCAAAGTCAGAAATACAGAATTAGGCTAGAAAGAGTTTTTTCTTTTATAATGAGAGATGAAATAAACTTTAGCTGGCAAAAATCACAAAACATAAAATCTAGAAAAGTAGCACAATATTAACTGCATGATATGGCTCTATAATAATTTTTCTCTACATTTTTTTCTGTAACTTCTTTGATCATCTAGTCATGATAACAATTTTATTATTTTATTTTCTTCAAAGAGACTGTGGAAATAATTCAGTCTCTCCTCTACAAGATTAATTTTTTTTGTGTGGGTACTTTAAACAATTTAAACATTGTAAAAATGCCATGTATATTTTTAGGATTATTGTCAATTTTGGGGAAGCCTCTATGTTCCTCTTATATATAAGCTGTAAGCCTTCTTGTAAAGTGACTAATTTTAAATGGTATTTGAGTGGATGGTACATTAGCCAATTTATTGTTGCTGTCCCTATTGTAGGGGTGTATTAGGAGTTTTACATTTTCTTCCTGTATGTCAGTGTTTCATGTTAAATAATTGAGAAATTAAAACTTTCCCAATGTATTTATATGATTCACTCCTTTTAATTACTTAGATTATCAAACAATCTAAGTCTATTAATTACTTTTGTTGCCAGAAAAGGGGGTCTTGATCCAGACCCCAAGAGAGGGTTCTTGGATCTCACACGGGAAGGAATTCAAGGAGAGTCGCAGAGGGCACTGAGAAGAAGTAGTTTTAGTGAAAGCTACTCGGTTACCGAGCAGGGCATCCTCAGAAAGCAAGAGGAGAAATACCTCATCTCTAAGTTTTTCTTACAGAGGGGACTTATCTATGTAAAGGCTAAGATTTGTCTACATGCTGGTGGACTAACAGCATGACAAAATTTAGCACTTTTTGATTTAAGGAAAGTTATCCTTGGCATTTTAATGTATACATCCAACAAAATGACTACAATCAAAAATGTCCATCAAGACAACTATAATTATCTTGAAAGCACATATTGTTATGGATACTGGAACATCTGGACTTTCCGTTGTTGTAGGAGTGCGTCCTTGCAGGTATCTTTAAGTTGTTTTCTCAACTGTAAACGTCTTATGAACATGGGTCATGACTGGCAAGGAATGGGTCTTGCTTGTTTCACGATGGAGTCAATTTTAAAATGGTGTAACCCTGGCTCTCCTATGCTCCTGTTTCCCTGACACTTTGGTTTGAAATGTATCTATTTCTCTTAATGAATCACTACTTTTGTTATGATCTGCAGGCTAGTTCATCTGTAAACACCTGACATCGGGAAGGCAGAGATGGCCAAAGAAGACATGAGCCAATACAATGAGATCATAAACATGCAGCTTCACACATGGATGTACTAGCTGTTTACAGCACTGCTGCATGTTTGTGCTCTATGAACACCAGACTCTGATATCTTCTAGTTTGCGCAATTCCTATTAGAAATGAAGAAAAAATGTGCAGTGCATTTATAATTGCACATGTTGTGTTGTCAGATAGATTTCAGGTAGACAGATAGACAGGAAAGAACTTCTGCTTTAACTGGGCTTTGATGAGAATTAAATCCTCTGCTTATAGTTTAATATGTCTGATGATTGGAAGAATTCTCGATAGACTAGTTTCTGACTCTGTATGTTTCAAATTTTGTTTCTTATCCAATATATATGTACTCCTGACGCTATGCATTAAAACGATTTATGGCCCTGTACCTTCATGTCACAGTGCAGGATGAGTCAGCATGGTGGGCGTAGATGTGTTCCTGGAAGCCATTCCTAACTAAGATAGATAGCAATGACTTGACTATAGATCGAAGTGACTGTCAACCACATAAATTGATCCCTCTGAACCTGTATTAAATGTACATGTAACTCAGCTCTGCGTCAGCCACACCCCTCAGCTACTCCATTGCCACCCACACAGTGACAGACAGAGAGTTAAAGTGGAAAGAGACATCCATCTTCAAAGATTACGGTAAAATATCTTATTTTCGAAAACTTAACAAAAACACACACCCATAGGAAAATACTGCTGTGCTTCTCCCAGGGCTTTGGAGGAGGCCTTGCAAGTGAGGGTCCTGAAACTGAAGATTCCTAATTGTTAAGGTAAATCCACCCACGTGAAATGAAGCCAGAATTACAAGTAAGGGGGAGACCATGTAGGGCCCTGTAGTTGTTAGGAGGAAGTTTCAGTGTTATTCTAAGAACAACAGGAAGGCTTAAAAGGCTTTAAAAGGGAAACCCGCTGGTTGTGGGCGGAGGATTACCTAGGTGCCGAGGCAAGAGACTGAAGGCACAAACTATTTCAGTATAATAAAGAAAATAGTCAGAATAAGAATAGTCATAATACAAATTAGACATAGAGATGATCATGAACAATTACCAATCATTATTATAAACATTATTAATCATTAGCTTTTAATATTACTCTTTGCTGCATTACTAATATAACCTAGGAATAACCAGTGGGTATAGGGTCAGGTGCTGAAGGGACATTGTAAGAAGTGACCTAGAAGGCAAGAGGTGAGCCTTCTGTCATGCCCGCATAAGGGCCGCTTGAGGGCTCCTTGGTCAAGCGGTAACGCCAGTGTCTGGGAAGGCACCCGTTACTTAGCAGACCGCGAAAGGGAGTCTCCTTTCCTTGGAGGAGTCAGGGAACACTCTGCTTCACCTGCTTCTTGTGGAAGGCTGGATATTATCCAGGCGGGCCCGCAGTCATCCGGAGGCCTAAACCCCTCCCTGTGGTGCTGTGCTTCAATGGCCACGCTCCTTGTCCACTTTCATGCTTCTCCCACACTCCTGGTTCCTCTTTGAAGTTCATAGTAGATAGCAGTAGAATAAATAGTAAAAGTCTTAAAGTCTTTGATCTTTCTTATAAGTGCAGAGAAGAAAACGCTGACTTATGCTGCCTTCTCTCTCTGCTTTGACTACCTAAAAGGGAAGGGCAGAGCCCCCTATCCTGTAATCACGTGACTTCCTTCACCTTGTCAATCACTCAGAAGATTCACCCTTCTAATATGGTGGCGCCAAGATGGCTGAATAGGAACAGCTCCAGTCTGCAGCTCCCAGCGTGAGCGATGCAGAAGATGGGTGACTTCTGCATTTCCAACTGAGGTACTGGGTTCATCTCACTGGGGCTTGCCAGACAAGTGGGTGCAGCCCACGGAGCAGGGCGGGGCATTGCCTCACTCGGGAAGCACAAGGGGTTGGAGAATTCCCTTTCCTAGCAAAAGGAAGCCGTGACAGACAGCACCTGGAAAATTGGGACACTCCCACCCTAATACTGCGCCTTTCCAACGGCCTTAGCAAACTGCACACTGGGAGATTATATCCCGCGGCTGGCTCTGAGGGTCCCACACCCATGGAGCCTCGCTCACTGCTAGCACAACAGTCTGAGATCAAACTGCAAGGTGGCAGCGAGGCTGGGGGAGGGGCGTCTGCCATTGCTGAGGCTTGAGTAGGTAAACAAAGCGGCCAGGAAGCTTGAACTGAGTGGAGCCCACTGCAGCTCAAGGAGGCCTGCCTGCCTCTGTAGACTCCACCTCTAGGGGCAGGGCACAGCTGAACAAAAGGCAGCAGAAACTTCTGCAGACTTAAACATCCTTGTCTGACAACTTTAAAGAGAATAGTGGTTCTCCCAGCACGGAGTTTGAGATCTGAGAACGGACAGACTGCCTCCTCAAGTGAGTCCCTGACCGCCCAGTAACCTAACTGGGAGGCACCCCCCCAGTATGGGGGCAACTGACACCTCGTAAGACCGGGTGCCCCTCTGAGCTGAAGCTTCCAGAGGAAGGATTAGGCAGCAACATTTGCTGTTCTGCAGCCTCCGCTGGTGATACCCAGGCAAACAGGGTCTGGAGTGGACCTCCAGCAAACTCCAACAGACCTGCAGCTGAGGGTCCTGACTGTTAGAAGGAAAACTAACAAACAGAAAGGACATGCACACCAAAACCCCACCTGTACGTCACCATCATTAAAGACCAAAGGTAGATAAAACCACAAAGATGGGGAGAAACCAGAGCAGAAAAGCTGAAAATTCTAAAAATCAGAGCGCCTCTTCTCCTCCAAAAGAACACAGCTCCTCGCCAGCAATGGAACAAAGCTGGATGGAGAATGACTTTGACGAGTCAAGAGAAGAAGGCTGCAGATGATCGGTAATAAGAAACTTCTCCAAGCTAAAGGAGGATGTTCAAACCCATTGCAAGGAAGCTAAAAACCTTGAAAAAAGAGTAGACGAATGGCTAACTACAATAAACAGTATAGAGAAGTCCTTAAATGAACTGATGGAGCTGAAAACTGTGGCATGAGAACTACGTGACACATACACAAGCTTCAGTAGCCGATTTGATCAAATGGAAGAAAGGGTATCAGTGATTGAAGATCAAATGAATGAAATGAAGCGAGAAGAGAAGTTTAGAGAAAAAAGAGTAAAAAGAAATGAACAAAGCCTCCAAGAAATGTGGGACTACGTGAAAAGACCAAATCTACATCTGATTGGTGTACCTGAAAGTGACGGAGAGAATGGAACCAAGTTGGAAAACACTCTTCAGGATATCATCCAGGAGAACTTCCCCAACCTAGCAAGGCAGGCCAACATTCAAATTCAGGAAATACAGAGAACGCCACAAAGAGACTCCTCGAGAAGAGCAACTCCAAGACACATAATTGTCAGATTCACCAAAGTTGAAATGAAGGAAAAAATGTTAAGGGCAGCCAGAGAGAAAGGTCGGGTTACCCACAAAGGGAAGCCCATCAGACTAACAGCGGATCTCTCAGCAGAAACTCTACAAGCCAGAAGAGAGTGGAGGCCAATATTCAACATTCTTAAAGAAAACAATTTTCAACCCAGAATTTCATATCCAGCCAAACTAAGCTTCATAAGTGATGGAGAAATAAAATACTTCACAGACAAACAAATGCTGAGAGATTTTGTCACCACCAGGCCTGCCTTACAAGAGCTCCTGAAGGAAGCACTAAACATGGAAAGGAACAACCGGTACCAGCCACTGCAAAAACATGACAAATTGTAAAGACCATCGACACCAGGAAGAAACTGCATGAACTAATGAGCAAAATAACCAGCTAACATCATAATGACAGGATCAAATTCACACATAACAATATTAACCTTAAATGTAAATGGGCTAAATGCTCCAATTAAAAGACGCAGACTGGCAAATTAGATAAAGAGTCAAGACCCATCAGTGTGCTGTATTCAGGAGACCCATCTCACGTACAGAGACACACATAGGCTCAAAATAAAGGGATGGAGGAAGATCTACCAAGCAAATGGAAAACAAAAAAAAGCAGAGGCTGCAATCCTAGTCTCTGATAAAACAGACTTTAAACCAACAAAGATCAAAAGAGACAAAGAAGGCCATTACATAATGGTAAAGGGATCAATTCAACAAGAAGAGCTAACTATTCTAAATATATATGCACCCAATACAGGAGCACCCAGATTCATAAAGCTAGTCCTGAGAGACCTACAAAGAGACTTAGACTCCCACACAATAATAATGGGAGACTTTAACACCCTACTGTCAACGTTAGACAGATCAACGAGACAGAAAGTTAATAAGGACATCCAGGAATTGAACTCAGCTCTACACCAAGCAGACCTAATAGACATCTACAGTACTCTCCACCCCAAAACAACAGAATATACATTCTTCTCAGCACCACATCACACTTATTCCAAAATTGACCACATAGTTGGAAGTAAAGCACTCCTCAGCAAATGTAAAAGAACAGAAATTATAACGAACTGTCTCTCAGACCACAGGGCAATCAAACTAGAACTCAGGATTAAGAAACTCACTCAAAACTGCTCAACTACATGGAAACTGAACAACCTGCTCCTGAATGACTACTGGGTACATAACAAAATGAAGGCAGAAATAAAGATGTCCTTTGAAACCAATGAGAACAAAGACACAACATACCAGAATCTGTGGGACACATTTAAAGCAGTGTGTAGAGGGAAATGTATAGCACTAAATGCCCACAAGAGAACGCAGGAGAGATCTAAAATTGACACCCTAACATCACAATTAAAAGAACTAGAGAAGCAAGAGCAAACACATTCAAAAGCTAGCAGAAGTCAAGAAATAACTAAGATCAGAGCAGAACTGAAGGAGATAGAGACACTAAAAACCCTTCAAAAAACCAATGAATCCTGGTTTTTTTAAAAGATCAACAAAATTGATAGACTGCTAGCAAGACTAATAAAGAAGAAAAGAGAGAAGAATCAAATAGATGCAATTAAAAATGATAAAGGGGATATCACCACCACTCCCACAGAAATACAAACTACCATCAGAGAATACTATAAACACCTCTATGCAAATAAACTAGAAAATCTAGAAGAAATGGATAAATTCCTGGACACATACACCCTCCCAAGACTAAACCAGGAAGAAGTTGAATCCCTGAATAGACCAATAACAGGTTCTGAAATTGAGGCAGTAATTAATAGCCTACCAACCAAAAAAAGTCCAGGACCAGACAGATTCACAGCCGAATTCTACCAGAGGTACAAAGAGGAGCTGGTTCCATTCCTTCTGAAACTATTCCAATCAATAGAAAAAGAGGGAATCCTCCCTAATTCATTTTATGAGGTCAACATCATCCTGATACCAAAGCCTGGCAGAGACACAACAAAAAAAAGAGAATTTTAGACTAATATCCCTGATGAACATCGATGCAAAAATCCTCAATAAAATATTGGCAAACCGAATCCAGCAGCACATCAAAAAGCTTATCCACCATGATCAAGTTGGCTTCATCCCGGAGATGCAAGGCTGGTTCAACATATGCAAATCAATAAATGTAATCCATCATATAAACAGAACAAAAGACAAAAACCACATGATTATCTCAATAGATGCAGAAAAGGCCTTTGACAAAATTCAATAGCACTTCATGCTAAAAACTCTCAATAAACTAGGTATTGATGGGACATATCTCAAAATAATAAGAACTATTTATGACAGACCCACAGCCAATATAATACTGAATGGGCAAAAACTGGAAGCATTCCCTTTGAAAACTGGCACAAGACAGGGATGCCCTCTCTCACCACTCCTATTCAACATAGTGTTGGAAGTTCTCGCCAGGGCAATCAGGCAAGAGAAAGAAATAAAGGGTATTCAATTAGGAAAAGAGGAAGTCAAATTGTCCCTGTTTGCAGATGACATGATTGTATATTTAGAAAACCCCATCATCTCAGCCCAAAACCTCCTTAAGCTGATAAGCAACTTCAGCAAAGTCTCAGAATACAAAATCAACGTGCGAAAATCACAAACATTCCTATACACCAATAACAGACAAACAGAGAGCCAAATCATGAGTGAGCTCCCATTCACAATTGCTTCAAAGAGAATAAAATACCTAGGAATCCAACTTACAAGGGATGTGAAGGACCTCTTCAAGGAGAACTACAAACCACTGCTCAGCAAAATAAAAGAGGACACAAACAAATGAAACATTCCATGCTTATGGATAGGAAGAATCAATATTGTGAAAATGGCCACACTGCCCAAGGTAATTTATAGATTCAATGCCTTCCCCATCAAGCTACCAATGACTTTCTTTCTTTTTCTTTCTTTCTCTTTCTTTCTTTCTTTCTTTCTTTCTTTCTTTCTTTCTTTCTTTCTTTCTTTCTTCTTTCTTTCTTTCTTTTTCTTTCTCTTTCTTTCTTTCCTTCCTTCCTTCCTTCTTTCTTTCTTTTTCTTTTTTTGATGGAGTCTCGCTCTGTTGCCCAGGCTGGAGTGCAGTGGCGCCATCTCAGTTCACTGCAAGCTCCGCCTCCTGGGTTCACACCATTCTCCTGCCTCAGCCTCCCGAGTAGCTGGGACTACAGGCGCCCGCCACCACGCCTGGCTAATTTTTTGTATTTTTAATAAAGACGGGGTTTCACCATGTTAGCCAGGATGGTCTCAATCTCCTGACCTTGTGATCCACCTGCTTCGGCCTCCCAAAGTGCTGGGATTACAGGTGTGAGCCACTGCGCCCAGCCTGACTTTCTTCACAGAATTGGAAAAAACTACTTTAAAGTTCACATGGAACCAAAAAAGAGCCCACATTGCCAAGACAATCCTAAGCCAAAAGAACAAAGCTGGAGGCGTCACGCTACCTAACTTCAAACTATACTACAAGGCTACAGTAACCAAAACAGCATGGTACTGGTACCGAAACAGAGATATAGACCAATGGAACAGAACAGAGCCCTCAGAAATAATACCACACATCTACAACCATCTCATCTTTGACAAACCTGACAAAAACAAGAAATGAGGAAAGGATTCCCTATTTAATAAATGGTGCTGGGAAAACTGGCTAGCCATATGTAGAAAGCTGAAACTGCATCCCTTCCTTACACTTTATACAAAAATCAGTTCAAGATGGATTAAAGACTTAAATGTTAGACCTAAAACCATAAAAACCCTAGAAGAAAACCTAGGCAATACCATTCAGGACATAGGCATGGACAAGGACTTCATGACTAAAACACCAAAAGCCATGGCAACAAAAGCCAAAATTGACAAATGGGATCTAATTAAACTAAAGAGCTTCTGCACAGCAAAAGAAACTACCATCAGAGTGAACAGGCAACCTACAGAATGAGAAAAAATTTTTACAATCTACCCATTTGACAAAGGGCTAATATCCAGAATCTACAAAGAACTTAAACAAATTTACAAGAAAAAATCAAACAACCCCATCAAAAAGTGGGCGAAGGATATGAACAGACACTTCTCAAAAGAAGACATTTATGCAGCCAACAGACACATGAAAAAATGCTCATCATCACTGGCCATCAGAGAAATGCAAATCAAAACCGCAATGAGATACCATCTCACACCAGTTAGAATGGCCATCATTAAAAAGTCAGAAAACAACAGGTGCTAGAGAGGATGTGGAGAAAGGAACGCTTTTACACCGTTGGTAGGACTGTAAACTAGTTCAACCATTGTGGAAGACAGTGTGGCAATTCCTCAGGGATCTAGAACTAGAAATACCATTTGATCGAGCCATACCATTACTGGGCATACACCCAAAGGATTATAAATCATGCTGCTATAAAGACACATGCACACATATGTTTATTGCGGCACTATTCACAATAGCAAAGACTTGGAACCAACCCAAATGTCCATCAATGATAGACTGGATTAAGAAAATGTGGTACATATACACCATGGAATACTATGCAGCCATAAAAAGGAAGAGTTCATGTCCTTTATAGGGACATGGATGAAGCTGGAAACCATCATTCTGAGCAAACTATCGCAAGGACAGAAAACCAAACACCACATGTTCTCACTCATAGGTGGGAATTGAACAATGAGAACACATGGACACAGGGTAGGGAACATCACACACCGGGGCCTGCTGGGGGGTGGGGGGAGGGGGGAGGGATAGCATTAGGAGATATACCTAATGTAGGCTGGGCGAGGTGGCTCACGCCTGTAATCCCAGCACTTTGGGAGGCCGAGGCCGGTGGATCACCTGAGGTCGGGAGTTCAAGACCAGCCTGACCAACAGGGAGAAACCCCGTCTCTATTTAAAAAAAACACACAAAATTAGGTGGGCGTCGTGGCACATGCCTGTAATCCCAGCTACTCCGGAGGCTGAGGTAGGAGAATGGCTTGAACCCAGGAGGCAGAGGTTGCTGTGAGCTGAGATTGCACCATTGCACTCCAGCCTGGGCAACAAGAGCGAAACTCCATCTCAAAAAAAAAGGAGATATACCTAATGTAAATGACAAGTTGATGGGTGCAGCACACCAACATGGCACATACATACTTACGTAACAAACCTGCACGTTGTGCACATGTACCCTAGAACTTAAAGTAAAATTAAAAAAAAAAAGAAGAAGATTCACCCTTCTTACCCTGACCCCTTGTCTTGTATGCAATAAATATCAGCAAGCCCAGCCATTCGGGGCCACTACCAGTCTCCGCATCTTGATGGTAGTGGTCGCCCGGGCCCAACTGTTTTCTCTTTATCTCTTTGTCTTGTGTCTTTATTTATTACAATCTCTCCTCTCCACACACGGGGAGAACACCCGCTAAGCCCTGTAGGGCTGGACCCTACAGCTGGTAATAGGATTTGATCTATATTTTGAGACAGAGTCTCTCTGTTGCCCAGGCTGGAGTGCAGGGGCGCAAACTT
Organism: Homo sapiens; assembly: GCF_000001405.40. Taxonomy (NCBI): domain Eukaryota; kingdom Metazoa; phylum Chordata; class Mammalia; order Primates; family Hominidae; genus Homo; species Homo sapiens. The sequence goes on from NC_000020.11 coordinate 1,223,935, forward strand.
GGCTCACTGCAATCTCTGCCTCCTCGGTTCAAGCGATTTTCCTGCCTCAACCTCCCGAGTAGCTGGGATTACAGGCACCCACCACCACTCCTGGCTAATTTTTGTATTTTCAGTGGAGACGGGGTTTCGCCGTGTTGGCCAGGCTGGTCTGGAACTCCTGGCCTCAGGTGATCCGCCTGCCTTGGCCTCCCAAAGTGCTGGGATTACAGGCGTGAGCCACCACACCTGGCCATGATCTATATTTTTCAAAGACCCCTCTGGCTTCAGTGTAGAGCAGCAGTCTCCAACCTATTTGGCACCAGGGACCAGTTTTGTGGAAGACAATTATTCCACGAGCCGAGTGGGCGGGGGGTCATGAGATTCTCGTGAGGAGCGGGCAACCTAGATCCCTCGCATGTGCAGTTCCCAATAGGTTTCGCGCTCCTGTGAGAATCTAATGCGCGGCTGATGTGACAGGAGGCGAAGCTCAGGCGGTGAGGCTCCCTCGTCCACTGTTCACCTCCTGCTGTGCGGCCCTGTTCCCACCCGGGGTTGGGAACCCCTGGTGTAGAGAATGGGCTTTAGGGAGGTGAGTGACAGGAAGGAGACCGCTCAGGAGGTTGGAGCTTTTCCAGGAGAGAGGTGGCTTAGACTAGGGTGGAGTCGGTGGAGATCTTGAGAAGGGGTAGATGAAAGTCATATTTGAAGGTGGAGTGATGGGCTTGCTGATGGGCTGGCATTGAAGTAGACATGAGGGTGGCACCAAGGGTGTCTCCCAGACATCCTCTTGAATGGTTGCCGTGACATCATTTCCTGAGGTCGGAAATTGGGAGCTAAACTTCAATTTGAATTCAATTTGAATCCTGTCTCTACAATTCCCAACCACGTGACCCTAGACAGGTTGCTATTTTTTCTCCAGCCCTTTCCTTATTCAAAAGGGGAAAACCAGTAACTACTTTTGTGAGATTGTTTGAAGAGTCAATGAGACAACCCATGAAAATGCCCAGCCAGGAGCCTGAACCTTATCAATAACCTTATATTGGATGCCATTGCCGCTCCAAGATTTATTAGTATTTACTATCAAACTCAAGAGAGGAAACCAGCCTTGCATCCTGATGCTCTTGCAGGATTTTTCTCAGGTTCTAGCACTTGGCCTTGACTACTGAGAACTGTGATATTCCAGGCTGGAAAATATTTGCTGTCCCCAAAGGGCAGGTCAATGTGAATAATCTTTTTAATAATAACAATAATAATAATAGCTAATATTTGTAGAGCACTTATTATTGCTTGGCTCTTTTCATGGTTCATTTTATTTATTTCTTACAATATCCTACGGCGCGAGTACTTTTATTATTTTCACTTTACAGATGAGAAAATCTGAGGTTCAAGGGATTAAAGAATTTCTCCAGTGACCTCCAGCTATAAGTGGAAGAGAAGAGACTGGACTGCATCATAGGGATGTTCAGAGATCAGCCAGAAAGATCACCTTTCACAACAGGACTATGGGGCCCAGGCCCCATCCCTGTCATGCCCCTGCTCAGGTGTCTCAGGTCCGAGCGCCAGGACAAAGCCGGAGACTGCGCACTAGGACCGGTGCGCCTTGCTCACTGTCTGACTCTATCCCTCCTGCCCCGTCCACTGTCCCCACCAACGCCCTGCGCCCTCGTCCCTCTCAGTCCCGGTCCTCTCCACTCTAGCGCACTGCCCTACTCTGTCCGTACCCCCAGCCGCCGCCGCCGCCGCCGCGCCCAGTCCCTCGGTCGCTGGCCCGCCCTTCCCCGCCCCCTGCCCCCGGTCCCTCAGCCACTGCCCCGCCCCGCCCGTCCATACCCCTCCACGCCCCTCCCCATGTCCTGCCCGTCCCTCTCCATCCCCTGCACGCCCCGCCCCTCGCCCACTGCCCCGCCCCATCCCCTGTCAGTCCCGTCCATCGCCCACTGCCCCGCCCCGTCTCCTGCACGCCCCGCCCCGTCCCCTGCACGCCCCGCCCTCGCCCACTGCCCCGCCCCGTCCCCTGCACGCCCCGCCCCTCGCCCACTGCTCCGCCCCGTCCCCTGCACGCCCCGCCCTCGCCCACTGCCCCGCCTTCTCCACGCCCCGCCCCTCCCCGCCCCGCGCCTGCCGCGCATTGCAGACGCCCAGCGGCGCCAAGAACCCGGCCAAGCTGACTTGGCGACTCCTCGCAGCCCCTGCTCTGGCACGCCACACCTCAGACGAGGCTTTGAAAGTAGGGCGCAGCCTGAGAGGCCGGCCGGACCCCGAGTGCTGTAGGCGGGCTGGGAGATGGGGGCCGCCGCCACCCACATTCCCACACGCACCCGGCGCCGGCGCCTCACGCCGTGTTAGCTCGCGGCGCCAAGCCCGGAGGGTCCCGCCTGAGGAAGAAAGGTCGTCGCCCGCAGCCCAGCTGGGGCTGGAGGCGCGACCCGGGGTCTCCTCGCCCGCACGCGGAAGAAAATGGGCGCTGTGGCCTCAGTTTCCCTCTGTGAGCACCCGGCCCGGAACTCTGAGGAGTCGTCTGTGGAGGAGCCTTTGGCGTCCCCCTGCCCCTGAGCGTGGCCGTCAGCTCTTCCCAGCCCCTGCACTTTGCTTTCCCCTCCCTCACGCCCGGAAGGGTCTCGCCCTGCCCGGCTCAGCCCTCTCTCCCCACGCCCCTCTCCCAGGGTCCCCGCCCGGTCCCCTTCCGACCCCTTCCTCCCTCCCTTCGCTCCCTCCCCGCCACCGCCGCCACCCTGCCCTTTGCGGGCCGGTTTCCACGGAGTGGCCCCATCCCGGTGGCTTCACGTTGCACGAAGTCAGTTCAATCTGGAGACTGAAAAAGCCTCCGGGACGTGGGGCGGGAGGGTGCGGGGGGAGTTTGTGTGCGTATTTTGTGGGGAGGGGAAAAAGGTTAGGTAATATGTGCTCGGGAAAATCAATGTCTCAGGAATAGCAAATCTCAGGGTTTGGGTTTTTTCTTTGTTTGTTTTCTCTTTTAAGAAGTCCATCACTTAAAAAGTACATTTGATTTTTTTGAGACGGAGTCGCCCTCTGTCGCCCAGGCTGGAGTGCAGTAGGGCGATCGCGGCTCATTGCAGCCTCCGTCTCCCGGGTTCGAGCGATTCTCCTGCCTCAGCCTCCCAAGTAGCTGGGATTACAGACGCCCGCCACCGTGCCTGGCTACTTTTTGTACTTTTAGTAGAGACGGGGTTTCACCATGTTGGCCAGGCTGGTCTCCAGTTCCTGGCATCAAAGTGATCCGCCCGCCTCAGCCTCCCACAGTGCTGGGATTACAGGCGTGAGCCACTGCGCCAGGCCAAAAAGTACATTTTAAAAGTACCTCACACCACTGGGAGCCATTTAAAAAGATAAATAGGAATTTATTCCGAGAGAGCGAAACACACAGACTAAAAAGGAAAGTAGTGGAACCAGCGCAAGGTACAAGCCATATGCATTAAAATCTCCAGCTGCCCCGTAGGGGAACATGGTTTGGCGGATTGCGTCACCTTTAGTTGGGGCATAATGATTGAATTCTTGCGGTACAAATAGACACTGATGGAAGTTTACCTAAGTTTTTAATTCTTTCGCCGACTTTGTGTTCGTCTTGGCTCAGTTTTCTCTTTTATCAGTATCTTAAGTAGAAAAGAAGCAAAAAGAAGCTTCCATAGTGGCAGTGTAAGATTACTTATATGTAAGCAATAATTTGATTCTTCCCTAGAAGTCAACCAAAGTGCTATAACATCCCTTCTCATCTTTAGCTTAGTGATAGAGCCCTATGGTGTTACCAAGAATAGTACAGTTTGTAAAAATGTGCATTAATTCCTTCTCTTTGTTTTAAGTGAAGGTTTTCTTTTATCGTTCTTATTTCAAAACATTTAAATTTGATTCGTGTTTCTTCCCTTGCCTTCTAATTATTTTCTTATAGTTTCTTGTTTTCTTCATTTTTCCACTTTATGGAATGGAAACTCCACTCCACTCCACTTTTTGGAGTCCCGTGATTTTAACTTCAAAAATTAAAATATTGTTGAATAAACCAGAGTATCTTGAAGAGGGCAATGAAATTCAACACCTGCGTATAAATCAATAATCCAATCCTTCTTAAATTATTAAGTTTTAGAAAAGAGGTGCCCTGTATTAGCTTTTCTTGGTTTTGTCTACCTTTTCCTATTCTTGTTTCTTATTTCCATATCTTATATTTTCAGCCTTCCTCCTTTATTTGACCATGTTAGTAAGAAGAGAACTCAAATCCTTTTTTGGATAAAATAAGTGACATGTATGAAGAAATCATTAATCAGGATGCATTTAAGCCCGGTGTAGAGGTGTAGTTCACAATTTACTAGAGCTTTGTCATTAGGTTATAATTTTATATTCTAAATAAGTTTCTCTTATTTACAAGAGAATAAATTGTATTGAATAATTGAATTAGAACATAATCTGAATGTTATTTTGTAGAATTAATACATATTTTTCTTATAGCAATAAAAAGTTTTTGTAATAAAATTTTAAATTTCTTTTCGTGTTCTCTCTAGTTTGTTAAATACAAGTAAGGAACACAGGCAACATGTTCTACACACATGTGCTTATGAGTAAACGAGGGCCATTGGCCAAAATATGGCTTGCAGCTCACTGGGAGAAGAAACTCACAAAGGCCCATGTATTTGAATGTAATCTAGAGATAACCATTGAAAAAATTCTTTCACCCAAGGTATGTTACTGATTAAAATGATAGCTTGTATTTATCATGACTTTGGAGGAGGAAAGACATTAAGATACACTTATATCATGAAATACATTTTCAAGGAAGTTTTACTTGTCAAATGGTCTTTCCTTTAATTCCTATAGCATTTAGTGTTATAACAAACCTATTGGTTTCTGTTGGTAATTAACTTTTTCATATGTCTATCATAGATAGATTGGACCCTAAGGGACAAAGGCCATATTTTATGCGTATTCATATTCCTTTCTTATTCACTAACAAAATACAGTTGACATAGTAAGTACTTAATAAGCATCTCTTAGAAAATAATGAACAAATGGGGAGGATAGAAAGAGGACTGGTTATAAATCCAAAAATATGTGAAAATGTGTCATAAACAGTAAAGTACTATGTTCATTATAAAACATTAAAACAGTGATTAGAATTTGCATTACAGCATTTAATATTGTTTTAAGTTAAGTATTTTTCAACTTTAGAGAAGGACAAATTGAAAGCCTATGGTGTGTTAGGCACTGGGCTGGACTTTATGCCTATAAGTCTATTTAATCTTTACAACAACCCTATGAGGTTGGCTTTTCTTAGCTTCTGTGAACTGTAGTTAGCATGTTTTGAGTTGGTCAAATTTATATTTAATTATTGCTTTATCACTTAATATGTTACTTTGGGCATCCTACTTAAAATATCTGAGTCTCAGTTTTTTCTTCTGTAAATAGAGGTTGTTGTCAAAATTAAATAAATTAGTGTATCAAAAGCTCTTAGGACAATGCCTGGCATAAAATAAGTATATAATAAATTGTAGGGAGGCTGAGGCAGGAGAATTGCTTGAACCCGGGAGGCGGAGGTTGCAGTGAGCCAAGATTGCGCCACTGCACTCCAGCCTGGGTGACAGAGCGAGACTCCGTCTCCAAAAAAACAATAATAATAAAAAAATAAGCTGTAGCCATTTTTATTAAACTGAAGTTCAGGAAGGTTAAGTGACAGCCTCAGCAACTGAACCAAGACCTGAACCCAATTCTGACTACAGAGTTTATATTCCTCTCATAATACCAATAATAGTATACTTTACTTAAATGCCATATTAGATTAACTTCCTTGAATAAGAATAAAAAAATCATTTTGCAAGGTAAGGTAAAAAGTGATATACTTTAACTAAGAATACAAAATATCTGCTTTTTTAAGAGAACCAATTCTTACGATGTCAGTAACTTTCAAAGAATAGGATTTATGAACCTAATCTTTACTCTTCTAATACTTCAAAAATTATTGAAAGGTGAAAATAGCACTTCGAACTTCAGGACACCTTCTTTTGGGAGTTGTTCGAATCTATAACAGGAAGGCAAAATATCTTTTGGCAGATTGCAGTGAAGCATTTCTTAAAATGAAGATGACATTTTGCCCAGGTATACATGTAATATTGATTTGTCTCCTTCTTGGTTCCCTTTTGCATTTTAATTGGGGGTGGGATCTTTTAATATACTTCAGGCTAGTATGGTGAATGTAAACTTAGTTTTGAATGAATCTAAGTTTCCATGGTTGAGGATAAATTGTATTCATTTCCTTGCTCTTTTTCTATACCTGCAGGAAAAGGTTATGCTTTCCAAAACTTGTAATGTTCCTGCATATTTATGGAAGACATATACTTAAAGCCACTACACTTGCATAAGAAACTCTGATATTCTGTTTTTAATGGGTCATTTAGTTTGTCGTGCCTGTTTTTGCCTTTATAAGAGAAATTAGAAATAGTGTGATTGACAAAACAGAGATATCAGTAATTGTTTTCAGAATTCTCAAGATTCCAAGCAGCTTGCTATTTATGACATATCAAAAATTCCTAAGCATTCCAAAGTGCCAGAGATTTACATATGTCATAAATATAATACCTTCAAAATTTATATACCATCTGTTTCACTTTGAAGACATTTTTTATTTTCTACCTTGTATTATGGCTACTTAGGTATGGATCTTGCCTCTGTCACTAGTCTTCAAGCTTCTTGAAGGCAAGGTCTTTGTCATAATTATTTTCTGAATCTCTTATAATATCTGTCTCAGTGCCTTGCACATACCATTTCCTCAATCAACATTTGTTGAATCAGGATTGACAGATTTTTTTTAATCTTCTTCATTTAAAATATTCATATAATCTCTAGGTGGATTTATATTCATATCAAGTATGGTTCATTTGTTCGTTTATTATTTTTTTACATATTCCACAAATATTCATTGATTTCATACTTTGTACCAAACACTATGTTAGGCTCTGGGATATAAAGACAAACAAGATAAATAAGATCCTTTTCAGTCAGGTGAGGAAATCAGATAATTAAAGTATTTTTAAAACATTACAGTAATTGTAAATTGTAATTGTGCTATAAAGGAAAATAAAGTGCTACAACATAAAATAACAGAGAAGTTCACTTTAGTTAAAATAATTGGGAAAAGCCTTTCTGAGAAGATAGAATTTAAGCTCAGACTTGAAAAATGAGAACTACCCAGCCATGTAAAAAGTCCCTGAGGGAATAGCATTCTAGGCGGAGGAAACTGCAAGAGCAAAGGTCTTGAGGTGGAAAAATGCTTGACTTTTTCAGGGAACAAAAAGGCTAGTATGGTCAGTATGGTGAATGTCACTAGATGATGCCTCTTAGGTTTTTAGGGTTACAGAGGCTCCAATTAGAAATTTTGATTTTATTAAATGCACTGGAGAAGTCACTAAATCATTTTAAGGCATCTAATCTGATTAGTTTTTTAAAATATTACTCTGTCTGCTTTATAGAGAATGGACTACACAAGGGTAGGAGTAGATAGAGGAAAACTAGTTAGAATAAGCAGTAGTCCAGTAAAAGAATATAGAGTTAGTTGGGAGTTCTTTGTTTTATATAGCATTGTTGCTTATTGAGTATGGTTTTTGATCCTTTTCAGGACTGGTTGACCTTCCAAAAGAGAATTTTGAAGCATCTTACAATGCTATCACATTGCCAGAAGAATTTCATGATTTTGACACCCAAAATATGAAGTAAAATATTTTATTTATTTTCCTTCGATTTAATTTTCTTGATATTTGTTTTTATATTCAAATTTAATTGAGTCAAATGGAATGTAGTTAACAACTGCACAAGTACAGATGTAATTGATAAAGACTTATATTTGGTATAAACTCCCAAAGTACAACAACAAAAGTGTGTCATTTTATTTATTGAATATAGTTTGCAATATTGACAGTATATTCATCTATTCATTCAGTAAATATTCACTGAGTGCCTTCCATATGCCGGAAACTGTTCTAGGCACTGAGGAGATAGCAGTGAATTAAACATAGCTGCTGGCCTCATGGATCTTAAATTTTATTTGGGGTAGCTAATAAATAAACGAATAAATATATGTCAGGAAATGATCACCATTGTGAAGAGAAACAGAAAATGAAATAAATAAACAGTAAGACAGGAAAGGCTTTTCTGAAAAGGTAAGAACAAATCTGAAGGAGGTAAAGGAACAAATCAGTAATGTGGGGGAAGAATATTCTAGGAAGAGCAAGTAGAAAGGCCCTAAAGCAGGACACACTGGACATTTTCAAGGACCAGCAAGGAGGCAAGTGAGACTCTAGCGGAGTAAATGAGAGGCTGAGTGGTAGGAGATGAGGTCAGAGAGATAGCAGGAGACACAGATGATGTAGGGTGTGATATACTACAGCGGGACTTTTATTTTACTCAGGGAACACAGGAAGGTTTTGAATAGAGGAGTGACGGGATCTGACTTGATTTCAACATCATCCCTTTGGCTACTTACTCTAAGGGGAAAGGGAGGAATCAGAAAGCACATGAGAAAGTTATTGTAGTAAGAAGTCCAGATAAGAGAATGCAGTATCTATGATCAGTTCTCAGTCATCATCTCACCCAGGTGGTAGCAGTCAAGTTACAGATATATCTGGAAAGCGAAGCCAGGAGAATTTGCTGATGAATTGCATATAGCTTTAAGAGAAAATGAAGGATACTATATGATTTTTGGCATGAGAACAGACTTAACACTTCATAAGATTAGTATAATCAGATTTAAAGGGGGCAGAGAGAAGGAAGTAAACTAGGTTTTGCATATAAGTTTTGGGATGACTGTTACACATCTGTTATGGTCTAAATGCATGTGTTCCCCTAAAATTCATATGTTGAAACCTAACCTTCAAGGTGATGGTATTAAGAGGTGGGGCTCTGAAGCCAGAATGACCTTTTAGGAACAACAACAACAAAAGAGTTGGAAGTGATTAGGTCATAAGAGAGGTGATTAAGTCATAAGAGAAGTGATTAGGTCATAAGGGCTCCACCATCATAAGTGAGATTAGTTCCCTTATAAAAGAGACCTGTAGGAGTTTTCTTGTCCCTTCCACTGTGTGAGGTCACAGCAAAAAGACACCATCTATGAGGAACAGGCCCTCACCAGACACCAAATCTGCTGGCACCTTGATCTTGTACTTCACATCCTCCAGGACTGTGAGCAATAAATTTCTGTTGTTTATCAGTTACCCAATCTAAGTTATTTTATTCTAGTGGCCCGAATGGACTAACACAATATCGAAGGGAGTAGGTAAGTAGTTGACTCTCCGGGTCTGAAATTCAGGAGAGAGGTCTGAAGTGGATGTATAAATTTGCAAGTTGTGAGTGTATAGATGGAACTTCAACCATGGACTCTAAGAGATCCCCAAGGTAGTGAGTATACATTTAAAAAAAGTAAAGAGAGAGAGGGATCTGAGGACTTAGTATTTGGTCATTCCCAGTAGTTAGTCTGGGATATTAGGAACAGAAAAGGAGCAGGTAGGAAGAAAATCGAGAAATAGTGATACCTCAGAGGCCAAGAGAAGAATGTATTCCATGAGGAAGGGAGTTGTTTAGTCTGTTTGGGCTGCTGTAACAAAATACCATAAACTGGGTGGCTTATTAACAATAGAAATTTAGTTATCATCATTCTGGAGGCTGAGAAATTCCAGATAAACTTGCCAGCAGATTCATCGTCTGGTGATGGCCTGCTTCCTGATTCATAGATGGCAACCTTCTCACCGTATTCTCACATGGTAGATTGAGGCAGCTTCCTGGGGCCTCTTTTATAAAGGCACTAATCTCATTCATGGGAATCTGCCCTCATGACCTAATTATCTCCCAAAGCTCCCACCTCCTAATACCATCACATTGGAGATTAGATTTCAAAATATGCATTTGAGGTGAAGAAGACACAAACATTTAGGCCATAGCAAAAGTCAACATCTAAGTCAAGTGCTGTTTGTTTGTGCAAATAAGATAAGGGACTGAAAATTGACCACTGGATTTGGAAGCCTAGAGATTATTTATATACATGTATATATAATAAACTAGTGTTTATAAATAATACTATTGAGAAAATGAAAGTTGTTTTAGTTTCTTCACTATATCAATGATATTTTTACAGTATCATTGTTTTCTGTTCTCATGTTTTTCTCAACCTTCTATTTCTCCATAGTGCTATTGATGTTTCAGAACACTTTACTCAGAACCAAAGCAGACCAGAAGAAATCACTCTTAGAGAAAATTTTGACAATGATCTAATTTTCCAAGCTGAGAGCTTTGGTGAGAATATTTGAGAACTCAAAATTACAAATTATAATCAATTATATTTGTATTTGTGTATTGAAATAATGCCAGTAGACGTAGCTATAGAATGAATCTTTTGATGTGTAAATGTAATTCCCAATACATTTTTCCTTGCCTTTTTCTAGTATAGATGTCAATGCCAAGACTCAGTCTTAGGATATACTTCTATTCTCAGTGTATAACCATTTACTGAATACCTACTCTGTATCAGGTGCTATCAATAGACAGGGCAGTACCAAAATTTAAAGAAGCAGTTCCTGCCCTCAAGGAGATTCTGGGTGTGAGAGAGACACATAAATAAACAGTTAAGATGGTCAACATACATACAAGATTTTATATGTATGCTGCATGAAATGCCTTCAAAATATATTTCTTCTGGTATATGATAATATCAATTGTAAAATAATGCCTTTTAAATCAGCCTGGGGGTGAGGAAGAGGAAATGCTACCACACTAAATGTATATATTGATTGTGAAACAGAAACTGATTTTTAAAATGTTAAACTCTTGTTTGGGCAAGGCGATTGTACTTTATTTTTAAATTTTTTTTTTGACACAGGGTTTTGTTCTTGTCACCCAGGTTGGAATGCATGATCATGGCTTACTGAAGCCTTGACCTGGGCTCACAATCTTCCCGCCTCAGCCTCCTGAGTAGCTGGGACTGCAAGTGCATGCCACCACACTCAGCTAATTTTTTAAAACTTTTTTGTAAAGACAGGGTCTTGCTATGTTGCCCAGGCTGGTCTTGAACCTCTAGGCTCAAGCAATCCTCCTGCCTCAGACTCCCAAATTGTTGGGTTTACAGGCATGAGCCACTGTGCCTGGCTAGTGTACTTTAAAATGGAAGCAATATGGTGTAATTTAACTATAGAGTATTTGATCTTTTTTTCTGGCATCTCCTACTCCCTGTCTTATATCATGATATTTATACACCTCTTGTCTTGGTCTACAAACTCCATGAGGATAGAATCTGTGTAATGTTCATATTTGAGTTTCCTATAGTGCCCAAAACAATGAGTATAGGAGAAAGATGGCCTATGTCTATCTTGGTCGGGGAGGGGAGTCAAGAAAGTAATGCTTGAGCGACATCTCTAACCTCAGCTTCTCATCCTTACTCTGCTTCCGTAACTCTTGCCATATCTGTAGCTGTGTTTCTCAGCCTGTGGTGAAGGACCAGTTTTCTAATATTTGTCCATTTTCAATCTGTATTGTATTTTACTGTGTAAAATACAATAAAATGAATTATTAGAAAAATTAAAAATTTAAAAATCAAAATACAAGTCTTAAGTTTTGTTATTAGAGTCAACATATATAAAATTGCTCTGTCAAATTTCTGTAAAACTTTCTGAAAATGTGCTTTTATTTCTGTATTTTCTTTCTTGTGGACCAGTACCAGTCCACAGATTATACTTTAAGTAGCACTGATCTCTTACTGGCTATAACCCCAGACCCAGAATTGCAACACATTGGCAAAGAGGTAATCATATTCCCTACTCCCAAGACACTCTTTACAAATTCCCCTACTATTCTTATTTGGGCTTGAAACTTTAGGATCACTTTTTTTTTTTTTTAAATGGGGTCTTGTTCTGTCACCCAGGCTGCAGTGCAGTGGCACGATCTCGGCTCACTGCAACCTCTGCCTCTCAGGCTCAAGCGATTCTCCTGCCTCCGCCTCTGGAGTAGCTGGGACTACAGGCATGCACCTCCGCACTCGGCTAATTTTTGTATTTTTAGTAGAGATGGAGTTTCACCATGTTGGCCAGGCTGGTTTTGAACTCCTGACCTCAGGTGATCCACCCACCTCAGCCTCCCAAAGTGCTGGGATTGCAGGCATGACCTACCGTGCCCGGCCAGGATCACTTTTAACTATACTTTCTGTCAGCTTCATACTAGTGCTGGGTTGTTTGTTTGTTTGTTTGTTTTTTAATTCTGAAATGTCTCTTAGATCTTTTTTCTATTTCCTTAGCCAGTGATATAGTTCACCAGTACCAAAGACCTGGAGTACTGCAATACCCTCCTACAAATCTTCCTCCAGTCTCTTCCCACATTTTATACATCTTTGTAAGAGCAATTGTCTTTAAATTCCATTTTTGATATATCACATTCCTCTGCTTAAGTGCCTTGGGTCCCTATAACTTACTGTATCACATACTTCTACCTATACTCAAGGCCCTCTGCCAATTTATCACCTTCTTTATTTTATCAGCTTTGTTTTACTCTTAATGTGGACTTTTTGCTCTAGTCAAGCAAATGTCTTACCACCCAACAAATACAATTTAGTTGTTCACATTTCTGTATCTTCCTTTACAATTTTAAAAGGTGGGAAGAACATGTTCTTAGTAAATGGGCAGATTTGGGTTTGAATCTGAACTTTCTCTATTGATTTCCTGTGTGACACTGGGCAGATTGCCTAACCTCTTTGAGCCTTACTGTCCCTATTTGTAAAGTTGGGATATAACTAACAACATCATAGGGTTATTCCCCTTATTCCTTCCTTTAATCTTCTTCACCAATATGTGATTTTTCTCTTCTATAAAAACTGCTTCAAACCTAATGTCCTCTAAGAAATATTTAAAATTAATCCATCTTATTCTGGATTGTAATATAAGATCAAAGGCAATGATTATTTCTTTTATGTATTTTGTATAATCTGATATTCTTGTGATGTTCAATGCTGAGAATATAGTGTCTTCATAAGTCTTATTCTCTGATTGACCAACGCTGGCTTTTCCTTTGGGAGCTATCAAGCTGTACCTAGATGATATGAATACATTCTTAGTTTTTGAAAAAGTAATTTAGTCTTTTCTTCTGAGCAATTCTTTAATCCATTGTCATGATAGTTGTTTTTTTCCACTCTTCCATTCTAGAAGATTTAGGTCTATAGAAGAATTTTCAATATGGGTAATACTTCATGATTTTCTTTACTGTCTAACACTAACATGGGTTGTTAGAGGGAGGAGAAGACTAACCTTGGACCTCTGGGGTTTCAGACTCCTGGACCTAGAGATTCAAACCCAAGAGAGGGAAATAACTGATGTCTGGTCAAGAGCTGACTTCTGGTCCCCTGGAACTATCAGTGTAGTGTTGTGATTGTCAGGATGCAGGCTCTGGAGTCAGAGAGAGCTGGGTTCAGATCCTGACTCTTGTCATTTATTATAGTGTGACTGTGTGCAAGTTACAAAACCTTTCTGTGGATGTGTTTCCTCATCTGTACAATGAGAATTATAATAGTATCTTCTATTACATAATATAATACATACTATAAACACTCGGTTACTGTTAGCTGACTGGGTTTGTCTTTTTTTTTTTTTAACGGACCTCTATCACTGCCTCCTAGCATATTCGATATTTATTGAATGAATGTTGTAAGCCCATTCTTTAATATTTTACCTACGTTTCCATTTCCTGAGATGACTAACATGTTCCTTATTTTCCAAACCTCCACTATGCATGAACACTACAAGCAATTGTCCTTGAAATACTATGAAATATACTTGGTCAAGCAGAACTTACTTACCTAAAATAGAATAAATTATTTTCCATAGTACTTTTACCTTAGGAAGTTATTAAACTATATCACAACTATAAACTCTATGTAATATGTTGGCATTTTTTCCATTGTATTTGAAAGGGCATTAGACTAAAAATCATGTCTCTACTGATTGAGTGACCTTAGTTGAATAATTCAAGTAAGTCTTTCAGCCATTCTCTTCATCTATAAAATGAGGTGTTGGATGACAAGATTATGCTAGATGATATCTGAATTTCCTTCTAACCCTATAATTCTGTGTTTCTATGAATTAGTATTAATGATATATATTTATTTAGGGGAGGAATCTGAAATTCTCAGAAGACATAGCTTCTTTGATGACAACATATTACTGAATTCCAGTGGTCCTTTAATTGAACATAGTTCTGGAAGCCTCACTGGAGAACGATCTCTATTCTATGACAGTGGAGATGGGTTTGGAGATGAAGGAGCTGCAGGAGAAATGATTGGTATGCTATCTGGTCATGTGGAAATAAAATATTTATTTTCATCAAATTACTACAATATATTAGTAGATTTATTATATCAATCTAAAATTTCAAATATGTTTTTGTGTTATGTAGGTCAATACTTTTTTTTATACAAGTTTTCAAAGTCTGTGGCATGTTTAAACATTTAGGCTAGGCCTAAGTAAATAGCCGTCTGTTTAAATATATTTTCTATAGAGGTTATGAACTACTGCTTGTTTTTATTTTTACAAATTCCTAATTTTTGGAGGGGAGAGAGTGAGGTTAGTATATTCCTTATAAAATATACTAGGCTATGTACTGGAAAACATTGTTTTCTTTAACATACATTGTGGGGCAGCTAAGTTATTTTCCAGAATTTTATATTATTATTTTATATTTATATTCCCCTGCTTAAGGCCTTGGGTCCCCATGACTTACTGTATCAAATACCTCTACCTATCCTCAAGGCCTTCTACCAATTTATTGCCTTCTTTATTTTATCAGTTTTATTTGTTTTACTCTTAACATAGACTATTTCACATTATAAAATAGTCATAGAAATCGGGTAGAGAAAAACTAAGAAGTCCAAATGCACATGTTTTATTTATTATTATTATTATTATTTTTGAGACGGAGCCTTGCTGTGTCGCCCAGGCTGGAGTGCAATGGCACCATCTTGGCTCAATGCAACCTCTGCCACCTGGGTTCAAGTGATTCTTCTGCCTCAGCCTCCTGAATAGCTGGGATTACAGGTGCCCACCACAATGTCCAGCTAATTTTTTTTCTAGTTTTAGTAGAGATGGGGTTTCACCATGTTGGTCAGGCTGATCTCAAACTCCTGACCTCAGGTGATCCACCCGCCTCAGCTTCCCAATGTGCTGGGATTATAGGAGTGAGCCACTGCGCCCAGCCAAAATGCACGTTTTAAAGATTATTTATTGGCTGTTCCTATCAAATCTTTTTTAAAATTCTCTAGTTCACATTAAAGATCTGGTTATTCCTTTACAATGAAATGCATAAAGTAACATTAATAAATGTTTAGTGAACAAATGACAGATTCCAGTCTGTATGAAAAAATATTCATTGTGTTTTTCAAGACAATCTATTGCAAGATGATCAGAATATCCTGTTAGAAGACATGCATTTGAACAGAGAAATTTCCCTGCCTTCTGAGCCTCCCAATAGTTTAGCAGGTAGGTTGAAATTTTCCTTTATGAGAAAGTAATGGGTTACTAATGTTTAAGCCTCAGAACTTCTGAATTTAAGTAGCAATATAGTATAGTGAAAGATAAAGAACAATGTCTTTCAGACTCTGTTAGTCTGACTGTAGACAATATAAAATAGGAAATTGGATTCTGATAAAGGTACACTGAAGGGTATTTAGCCAGGATTGGGCTTAGCATGAGAGAACTCTGCCAATATATTGTGCTTTTTGAATTATTAAAATAGTATATGGTAAATGGTAAGAAAATTTATTAACTAGTATGGTTTGATAATCTACATACAATTTGAGAGAAATTACAAATTGAGGATATTTTCCCTATTTGAAATTCATACGGAAGTACCTCAGATGATTTGAGGTATTTTAGTCTGATTTTTCTTAAGAATTAAAAGTACAATTAGCCCCATTTTTTATTTGCCACAATTTTTGATGTTATATTTGCTTTCTAAAAACAACAGTAGAAACTGAAAATACAAAGAGCTAAAAGTAATAAAATTTTACTTATGGTTTTTTATGGATCAACTGATAAGTGATTTAACAGAATAGAATTTTTTTTTAGCAGACATATAGTCAAATTGTTATCAGTCATTTACTGTAGTTGCTGCCACTGTTTTCACATCTGCTGTGACTTTAGCCCACCCTTAGATGTCTCATGTGCAAAAGGGGATGATGATACTTGACTCACTCGAATACTGTGGGTCCCACACCATATAATCTGTAAGCCTCTTCAGCTCTATTAAATAAATGGTTCTAAGAATTCAGATGTTCCAGTTAGTAATATAAATCTTCAGTTAGTTTATCTTTATCTTTAATTCTCATACAGTCCTCTAGCCTGCATCCTAACTGGTTTTTTTTACAATTACTTTTATGTGGATGTTGATTAGTTGAACCAGATAACTCAGAGTGTATATGTGTACCTGAAAATGAAAAAATGAATGAAACAATATTATTATCAACTGAAGAGGAAGGATTTACCCTTGATCCAATTGATATTTCAGGTCAGAGGCATTTACGGTTTTGTTTTAATTTTTAATACACTGTTAACTTATTTACTTTGAGATGTTTGAATAATCACTGAAATATTATAGGAGATAGTCAATCTAGTAATAGCACTTGTAACACAATAGAGGAGAAGACGGTGAAGAAAATTTTAGATGATCCTTTTGAGGTAGGAAGCGGGACTCAACTCCAGAATTGGGGGTTGGACACCGGACCAGATGAGGACTAGTTACAAGGTGGGTGGGGGGAGCTTTCAATCACACCCACCCACCAGTGTGCCATGTCAATTTACTGCTGCCATGGCAACACCGGGAATTCACCCTTTTCCATGGTGATGACCCAATGATTCCTACTCCTTCCCTGCATAAACCAGCCCCCTTAATCTGCATACAATTAAAAGTGGGTATAAATATGACTGCAAAACTGCCCTGAGCTGCTAGTCTGGGCCTGCTGAGTAGCCCTGCTCTGCAGCAGCAGTTACGGTGCTAGAGCTGTAACACCACCAGAGGTGTAACACTGCCTATTCAATAAAGCTGTTTTCTTCTACCTCTGACTTGCCCTTGAATTCTTTTCCTGGACAAAGCCAAGAACCCAGATGGGCTAAGCTCCACTCTGGGGCTCATTTGTCCTGTACCTCTGTATCACTTGCATTATATTCAGTCCTGTTCAAACCATGTATCCAGTTTGGGAAACTGAAAAATTTTAAACTAAGTTCAATTTAGGAAGGTATTGAGCCATTACTCTGTAGTGGGCACGGGAATAAAGAAGACACACACTTTTTACTTTTAAGAAGCTTAGAAAACAATCTAGTCAGGAAGATAAATAGTCATGCAAGTGAATATAATATAAGGCAGAATAAAAAGATCAGAGGAGAGGCGAATGCCTTCTAGCATTTAACTTCAAGCATCATATTTTTAGGGATAAGTAGTAAGTATGAATCTAATATATCTAATGTAACTACTAGTCTAATATAACTAATATAACTAGGTCATTTAGAAACATCCTAGTTGTAGGTAGTATAATTGATATGAATTTCAGTTTATAAACTCAGGCATGCAAACAGTAAAGCATTTTTTTTTTAACTGAATTCACCACTGAGCCTCTATCTCACTAGGCTGGCAGGAAATTCAATCTGTGTAGCTTCCCTGTCTTATTTCCACCATGTAGTTCCAAAGTTTGGGGGAGGGGTATGGAAGGTGGAAGGGAACCTCTGGTTATCAGCTATACCAATCTGTGGTTCCCAGGGCTCCAGCTTACATAGCCTTGGGGATCATCACATAGCCAACCTCTCCAGTATCTTGTCTTGTTCCTGGGATTTTACTGAGGCACATCAGCCAGCAAGCAGGTTCCTGTACATTTTGGCTCCATTTGATCTTGGATCTTTATCAATCCTGAGAAATCTAACCCTCTCTCCCCTTTTACAGCTTTACTAAAGAAAAGCTTGACTTCTGCTTTCTGCCTGGTAAAATTCCCTGGTGGAGTGAAATCCTATGGACCTAGTTACCTGCTTGGAATGTCTATGAATTTCAGTGGGAGAGGGAAAAATACACTGGACAAATACAAATGAGTGTTGTAGAAAGTTATTCTATTACATAAGCATTTTAAGGAACCTCCAAATTGGTGGACTTCCCTCTTCCCCACCTTTCCTCAGTTGCTCACTTAACAGGTAGATCCCTTTCTAAGCACTTCCAAGCAACACCTTACAAAATGTATCAGCTATTGGTTGCTCAGCATAATTTTCAGAGGGGAGAAGGGATTTTCTTTCCAATGCAACACTGTAGGTTGTACTGTGGTAGAAATTTCTTTTCTCTTTTGGAGATAGGGTCTTGCTCTGTTGCCCAGTCTGGAGTGTAGTGATGTGGTCTCAGCTCACTTCAACCTCTGCCACTCAGGCTCAAGGGATCCACCCATCTCAGCCTCCTGAGTAGCTGGGTCTACAGGTGCGTGCTACCATGTGTGGCTAATTTTTGTATTTTTTGTAGAGACGGGGTTTAGCCATGTTGCCCAGGCTGGTCTTGAACTCCTGGGCCCAAGCAATCCGCCCACCTCAGCCTCTTGAAGTGCTAGGATTACAGGCATGAGCCACCGTGCCTGGCTTAGAAATTTCTTAAGTATTTAGTGCCTACAATATGATTTTAGAAAGCTGTATAACCAATCACATTTGTGCTATTTCTTATATTTAGACATTGCTGAGAAAAGGAAAGGCAAAAAGAGGAGATTGCTCATAGATCCTATCAAGGAGCTCAGTAGCAAAGTTATACATAAACAGCTTACTTCCTTTGCGGACACACTCATGGTTTTGGAACTTGCACCTCCTACCCAAAGATTGATGATGTGGAAGAAGAGGGGAGGAGTGCATACACTTCTGTCAACTGCTGCCCAGGATTTGATTCATGCTGAACTGAAAATGGTAACGGTTCCTACCCTTCTACATGTGAGCAATGTCTGGTTATAAATAAATAATAAATAAATAAATAAACACATATTTACATACATATATAACAGAATTTAAACTTGCGAAGAAGTACTTCCTCATTTTGAATTAATTTTCTGTATTGTGTGTATGAATTATAGTTTTTCCTTTTTAGATATGTGCTTGTGTTTTCTTGAATTGCTTTGCTGGTACAAAAACAAAAAAAACAAAAATGTGTATTTTTACAGTTGTTTACAAAATGCTTTCTGTCCTCTGGCTTTAAACTTGGAAGAAAAATGATACAGAAGGAGTCAGTAAGGGAAGAAGTGGGAAACCAAAATATAGTAGGTGAGACTTCTTAATTCTGTTGATGTTGAGGGGAATGCTGTGGAAACAAAAATTTGATGTTTTAAATTTCAAAATGAAGGTGGGATCCAATTCCATATTCTCAAGTATAAATGCTAACTCTGGAAGAGTAGTGGAACTTAAATGAAATTATTACCTCGGTATTGCATTTTTCTGCATTTTGGATTAATTTTTGTCCCAGAGATTTCGTTAAAAAGATGAAATATATATACTATGTAAACCATTCTTATTATCACTCTTTCTACCTCCTTCACTCCCAAAGGCATACTCAAAAATCCTCAAAAAAGAAAATCTTTATATCTAGCAAGATAAAGTTTCAATGTAAAACAACTAACATGAAAAGTCATGTAAGGATAAGAACAGCACTTAATACACTTAACCTGACGCAGATATTTCTGTCTACCCAAAAGGCACATGGAGTATTAATAATCACTGATTATTATCATGATAATTATAAAGTGATAATAAAACCAATTGATGTGATGAGTGAGCTTCCACTTCCTGATCACCCTTCCTGAAGGCATTAAAACCTGCTGAACAATATACCACAATGGGCTTGAACTGTCCATGTTGTCTTGTGAGTGAATGTGTGAGAGCGTGTGTAGAGGAGATGGTTGGCAGAGAATGGGGAGTGGAGGTGATAGAGACAGAGGACAAGAAAGGGAAGATACATATGTGAGACTTGGGAGCAATAAGAAAGTTTGTGTATCCTTTGCTTAAATTCTTGGATCCCAACATGTCTGTCAGAAGTTTTCTTTTGTTACAACCATATCACAATTCAAGTTTGAAAGATATTTTGGTGAAATTGTCTTTATTTCCTTGATAATTCAGAGACATCCATGATGCAAGAGCCAAATTACCAGCAAGAGTTAAGTAAACCCCAAACTTGGAAGGATGTGATTGGTGGATCTCAGCATAGCTCTCATGAGG
Organism: Homo sapiens; assembly: GCF_000001405.40. Classification (NCBI taxonomy): domain Eukaryota; kingdom Metazoa; phylum Chordata; class Mammalia; order Primates; family Hominidae; genus Homo; species Homo sapiens. The sequence continues at coordinate 1,244,145 of NC_000020.11, forward strand.
ATACCAATAAAAATATTAACTCTGAGGTAAGTTATCCAGAGAGAATCGTAAAAATATTTTATTTTCTACAGATACAGTAAAGGAATGTTGGGACTCTGGTATATTTTCTTACATTTGTGTAGTTCATATTTCATTTTAAATTGTTTTGCAATTTGTTTAGTAAGTAGCAGGGTAAAACATGATTTTCTTCTGCAGAATTTTTCTAGGAGTTTAGGATGTAAATTGCAAGATAAGGTGGTTTCATACCAAGCTAGTATTTTGCATGATACGTTAAATCAATGATTGTCTCTATGTAAACCTAGTTATATGCTGAGAATCCTACTAGGCCTCATATTCTTTGTGTCATGGAATGTTTTAGAACTGCAGCCAGTATGCCTAAGTTTTGCTTTTCATCATAAATTCACCCAAGTATCTCTAAGAATAATATATTTTAGACCCACCAATTCCTTGGCCTTGAATCTGAAAGACTATCTAAAGATCTATGACCAAAACAAAATTTTAAAAACTTTTTAAGATATAATTTTTTATTTGAAAAATATTACTATTTGAAAACACAATTGGAAATAATGTACTTTGAAATATTTTCTCAGTTGTTATTTTATTGGTTGTACAAATATAAATATTATAGCCACACCAGTTAAAAATAAACCAGTGTTTTTATGGTCTGTTCCATTATCACTGTATTTTGATAACCACTCAGGGAATTCAAAGTCAACCCATGTTGAAACTGAATGCCCTTGGAAGGAAAGACAATTTCACAGTGCATTCAAACAGAATGTATTTTACTAAATATTTGATAATATACTGGATATTGAGACACTGGGTTGCTAGTACTACTCTCTCCCTCACTTGGGCTCAGGCATTTGTTAAAGTGTACCTACCGAAAATTATGATTAGGCAAACCTGTTTAGTTTATGATTTTTTGGAAGGAAAATACAACTGCAGTTATCACAGATATAACAAGATAGATTGTCCCATGGGCTTGAAGTAGAGAGAAGAGAGATCGATGTACCAGTTCTTTTGAACCTTTACTCCTTTACCTTATGCTTATGCTTTAAACCTTCAATACTCCTCTTATTCTGCTTCCAAAAATGGTTAACAAATGTGAAATATAGTCAAGCATGGGAGCACAAGAACAATAAGGGACAAGAGAATATTGATTCTGATGAATCATTTTCAAATCTTCATAAAACAGAATTTTTATATACCATACCTGCAAAATTGAGAGTATCAAAAATGTAGAATACTCATAGAAATTGAAAGAGAAAAACAAGGCTTCACAAATATGTATATTAAATAATAAAATGTAACTCCTTATGTTTACTAAAATTTTTTAAAGCTGAGTGAAAAAGCAAGTAAACTATCTTAGAGGAGGCCCTTAATCAAGATTGAGGAGGACAGCTGGGGAATGAAGCTTGGAGACAGGTTGAAGATGAAAAGAGGTTGATAGCTTCTATAGCAATGAGAAGGGAAGGAGATGATAGGGACTAGGAAATCTCTGTCTCTTTTTCTTTCTTCCTTTATGTCTTCACTCCCCTTCCAACAGACAGGTTCTTCTTCCCTTTTGCCCGTGACAGCTCCAGCAGTGGTGGCAGGAATCCTGTCATGGTCCTCGGTAGGGATATTAATATCCCTTTCCTCACTCTCACTCCCTCTCTGCTTGCTTATTGCAGATCTCTTTCCTCTGCCACCTGGTATTGGCATGAGAATAGAGGTAGGGGAGTGGGGCTATATAAAATGCTTCAAAGCAAAGTGGTCTCAGTAGCACAGCAGTAGAGACTTTTAATGTGAGGTCTGCAGTAGAGAGGGAAATAGGAAAAGGATAGGAAGCAAGGAGGGAAGGGGCATGCAAGTTCTTCCTTTATGGGAGGCATATGGAAAATTGTAACATTTAAGTCAAAGACTGCCTATCTGGGGTATTTCAGAGATAATATTTTGAGAATGTGGGTAGTATTTTAAATTAGTTTGAGAAGTGAGCATTCATGTGATTAAAGCATTTAATAAAATTAGATTGTTCCTGTATAACCACTGGCAGATTTACCTAACTTTCCCTAATTTGCTTCAGCAGGATATTGTTGAAATGGTGTCTTTAGCTGCTGAGGAATCATCTTTAATGAATGACTTATTTGCACAAGAAATTGAATATAGTCCAGTTGAATTGGTAAATATATGTGTAGTCTTGGGGATGTTCTTAAAAACTTTATTCCTAAATATTTAACACCTTATTTATCTAAAACTTGGCTTTTATAGCTGTCATGTTACTTTCTAAATTTATAATTTAAATTTGTGATTACAACAGAGATGTTTGTGAATAGTTTGATAAAATATTCTGAATTGCTCTGATTTTTTTGTCTTTCTTTAATTTCTTTTGAAACTTCAAATACTTTTAAGGGAAAGTGTGAGGTTTTTGTGCTTATCAAAAGTAGTGACAGGATTTTAAATGTTGAGAATCACTGTTTTAAATTATTGATATAACATCTCTAAAGAAACAGAACTATATTAAGAGTATGGCCTAGGGCATTTGAAATTTTATCTTATTTACAAAAAACTTGTGGGCAATTTTTCCTTTAACATTATGTGGCACAAGGCTTGTATCTATACAAGGCTTCTGGAAATCTGAAACAAAATAATCTGGTAGTCAGAGGGCCACATGTCAATAGCAAAGACAGAAGTAAAGTCTGATTTCCCTGACTCCCTGCTTATTAACTGTCTTATTTCTCTGGTATTATCCCAGCATACTGAAAACATTTTTAAGATTGTAAGGAATTTTAGTAAAAGTTTTTTAGTAAATAATATAAAAACACCTAGTAAGCCTGATGTTAATTTGCTTCTATAAAATTATCTATATATTGAGTTCCAAGACTCTTTGATTGTTTTTCATACAAGGAAAAGAGACCAAATTCTCTAGATAATCTAGGACAGAATAAATTACCTGAACTTTTTACCTGAAGTATCCAAACAGCTGAGCCAGAAGTGGGTTAGTTCATTTTTGCTATTCGCTGTGCTTCTGTAGATGCAGGTTATTTTCATACATGGTCAAGCAAACCACAACATAGCACAAGTTCAGCTGTTTTAATAATCCACTGGGCTTTTTACACAATAGATTCAGCTGTAGGGTGTCCAGATAGATCAAGTGGACAGGCTTTAGCAGAATGCACAGAGTATTTCTTCTGAGCCTTTCTCTGGTTAGTTTAGTTGTGCATTATAGATGAAGCTAGAGTCTCATGGATCTTTAACAAAGAGGTTTTTACATTTCAAAAACTGCATTTGTTTATTTAACAATAAAATAAACATTAATAAGTGGGTGTCCTCATTTATCCAAGGAGAGACCAGAAAAGAATAATCATAAATTGTAGCTGAAGGGATTTAGAAAACTCTCTAGAATAAAGTGACCGTATTTTCAAATCAGTCTTTTTGGAATATAAGAAAGCATACAGCATAGGCAGGCCTAGGAAGCTGGTATAGTTGGTGGAAATGGGGACTCAGTAGCTCCCAGGCTTAGTCAAAGAGTCCCTTTAGCCTCACATGATTTAAAATGTCATGCAGAATATTCTGGTGCTTTCTGTAATTGTCTTGGAGTCTATGAAATTGAAAGCACTTTTAGGAAGTGTCTGGGCTCCTATACATGAAGGCTAGACAGACAGTGGACATGAGGTGAGAGTGACATAGATGCTGTTGGGCTGCATAGTCAGAATTAGCTTAGGAAAAATTATGAAGTAGGCCAGGTTTGTGCCACTTCCCTTCCCCCAACCCTTTGTAAGCCTACTCTTTTATCAGATTCATGAACACCTTTCATATGCTCAGTTTCTGTTCTCACATCATAAGGTGTTAGTTTGTAAGGGATTAGAATACCATTTTTAAATATTGAGGTATTTCTGAAAGTGGTTAAGCCTTAAATACCAAAAAAAAAAAAAAAAAAAAAAAGAATCTATTTAGATAACATGACAGACATGTCCAAGGCACAGATGCCTTGGACAAGGCATCTCGAAATCTGAAAGATTTCTAACCCAATTGTACACAAACTACTAGACAGCAGTTATGTTTAGAGCTTCCATTACCAGATAAGTTCAGATAAAGGCCTTTACAAGACAGAAATAGCTGTATGTTTACTCCTGTCAACTGAGTTCAGATTGACCAGAACTAGGATAACCCTAGGCAAAAGTTGTTGTCTTTGCTAATTTTGCTTTTCAAAGTAACCGTAAGACCCTGGACACATTAACAAATAAAGATGGCAGAATCTCCTATTTTGGAGCCTCTTATCAGAAGAGACCCTGGAGAGTACAGGTGTAATTGTGCAAAGGTGGTTTATATTTGTATGTTAGCCTTATTCTTTTTATAAATAATAAAGATTATAAGCTCTTTATTTGGCAGGACCCATTGTAATAATTGTGTTTCTTGTAGAAGCTAACACTATGATGGGCAAATAGTCAGCATTTAGTAAAATTTGCTTAAATTAAATATTTTATCTATCATTCAAACAGGAGTCATTGAGCAATGAAGAAAATATTGAGACAGAGAGATGGAATGGAAGAATACTTCAGATGTTAAATCGTTTACGGGTGAGATGCTAGGGTTTGTCAACCCTGTTTTTATTTTAAAAAATAAGTAAATACTGACTTCAAGCTTCCATATATTAATGAAAACGCAATAATTTTCCTTATTTTTTTGAGGCCAAATCCCACTAGAGTGCAATGATTTTCAGTAGTATACCCAGGGCTAAATATAGAAGTTTGGATTTGGTGCCTGCATATTCTAATCAACTTCTTACCCACACTAATACCCTTAGATATCCATTCTGTGTCCCATCCTCGTTTTTAGCATGATACCAACTAATTCTCAATATGAAACTTAGTTTATAGCAGTTCAAGAGTGACAACTCAGGTAATTTTTGAATTTAATTTATATTTTTATCAAAATAATACATGTATATTATTTTAAAAGCTCAATAGCACCATGCAATAAGGCTGAAAAGACAGAAAGGCCTTTGTCCTACCTCTCCTTATCCCTAAGTCCTGCTCACCAGAAGCAACTACATTAAGCTGTTTCTTTTAGTATTTATATCTATATTCTTAATAAACATGCTTTTAGTGCTCTTTCTTGGTATTTCAGCTTTAAACTATATCTACTGAATTCTTTTGACAGAAAACAAAAGTTTAACTTAGTTACCTTCCCCTCCCTAGTATACTTTTAGCATAGTGTTATGTGTTTACAGTGTTATATTTGTAATAGTTATGATGCAGGTTTGATTGCGACAGGGAGCCAAAATATTAGTGGCTTAAAAAAGACAGAAGTTTATTTATCTGTCAGGTAAAAGTTCAATCTGGTATGGCAGCTATGCTCACAAAGTTGTCAGGGACCCAGGTTTCCTTTGTCTTCTCAAGATCCAAAATGGCTAACTACCCACCAGGTCTGTACTCCAATCAGTAACAAAATTTCCTTTAAGAGTACAACCCAGAAATTGTATCACTTTTTACACTTCATTGACCAGTACTTAGTCACATTGACGCATCTAGCTGGGAAATGTAGTCTTTATTTGGTAAGCTTAGTCCCAACTAATAATTCTGTTACTATAGAAGAAGAGAATGGAAATTAAAGGACAACTAGCAGCTGCTGCCATAAAGACTAAATAAAAATTAGTTACATTGAAGCTTCATAGCATAATTACATTTCTTGTCAACTTTATGGTTGTTTTGTCATTACCTCATTTTTTTTCTTTTTTTTATTATTATACTTTAAGTTCTAGGGTACATGTGCACAACGTGCAGGTTTGTTACATATGTATACATGCGCCATGTTGGTGTGCTGCACCCATTAACTCGTCATTTACATTAGGTATATCTCCTAATGCTATCCCTCCCCCCTCCCCCGACCCCATGACAGGCCCCGGTGTGTGTTGTTCGCCTTCTTGTGTCCAAGTGTTCTCATTGTTCAATTCCCACCTACGAGTGAGAACATGTGGTGTTTGGTTTTTTGTCCTTGCCATAGGTTGCTGAGAATGATGGTTTCCAGCTTCATCCGTGTCCCTACAAAGGACATGAACTCATCCTTTTTTATGGCTGCATAGTATTCCATGGTGTATATGTGCCACATTTTCTTTCTTTTTTTTTCTTTTTTTCTTTTTTATTATACTATGAGTTTTAGGGTACATGTGCACAACGTGCAGGTTTGTTACATATGTATACATGTGCCATGTTGGTGTGCTGCACCCATTAACTCATCATTTAGATTAGGTATAGCTCCTAATGCTATCCCTCCCGCTGTGTCCAAGTGTTCTCATTTTTCAATTCCCACCTGTGAGTGAGAACATGCAGTGTTTGGTTTTTTGTCCTTGTGATAGTTTGCTGAGAATGATGGTTTCCAGCTTCATCCATGTCCCTACAAAGACATGAACTCATCCTTTTTTATGGCTGCATAGTATTCCATGGTGTATATATGCCACATTTTCTTAATCCAGTCTATCATTGATGGACATTTGGGTTGGTTCCAAGTCTTTGCTATTGTGAATAGTGCCACAATAAACATATATGTGCATGTGTCTTTATAGCAGCATGATTTATAATCCTTTACTTCATTTTTTTATTTGCTCAGTGTCTATAAACCCATTTTAATTATTTTTCCAAACTCAGACAATATGACCAAACTCTGACAAAAATACCATTTTTATGGTTTTGTAATATTTTATAATATCTCTTATCAAATGATCCATCAGTTCCATTTTTTTTCCTTAAAGGTATCTCTCTGGGAGCTCACCATCCTCTTGTTCTGATCCAAACCAGCGGCTGTTTAGGTCTGCTCCATAGTTTTTGTCTTGGGATATTGCTTTGTCATAAACATGGGAATTTGTCTCTTTCCTGTATATATTATTTCCTCTGTGGTTTTGGGTGCTTTGATCTTTCTTTATCTTAAATTTTTTAGTGGTTAACATCCTTTCATAATTTCCTGAGATAAAGAGTTCACGAGAGATACAGACCCTCCATACCAGCGTGAGCGTTTCTTTTACCTTTAACGTGATTGATTGTCTCTAGATGTAAGTTGAAAATATATTTCTCTCAGATGTTGAAGGCTTTGTAACATTGCCAAGATTCTTGTGATGTTATTGAAAGGTCAGATATTGCCTTAGTTGGTGATCCTTTGTAAGTAACCTTTATTTTCTCTCTGGAAGCTTTTGATCTATTATTGTTATTATTATTATCCCGGGCACTCTGGAATTTCATGATGTGCTTTGGTTTTTTTTTTTTCCACTTATTGTCTTTACCATGTAGTGTGTTCTTTTATACAGAAATTTCATGTTCCTGAGTTTTAGAAAATTTTTAAAAATTTCTTGGACTTTCTCCTTATTATTGTTATTTTTTAAAGTTTTTCATAGAGTCAAGGTCCCACTGTGTTGCTCAGGCTGGTTTCAAACTCCTGGCCTCAGTTTCCTTTTTATTTATGTTTTGTCTTCCTGAAGGGCCAGTGGGTCAGATGTTGGATCTCCTGAACTACTCCTTTAATTTTAATAACATCTTTTATCCTCTATATTAATTTCTTTGTATTTGTGTTTTTCTACCCTCTAGATTTCTTCAACTTTGTCTTCTAGACTTTACTGAATTTTTATATCTGCTTTCACCTTTTTGTTTTCCAGGAGTTTTTTTTCTTGGTTACTAACTATTCTTTTATTTTATAGCATCATAATATTTTTATTTAATTATTCAATTAGGTTTCTAAAGCAGCTTTGTTGAGATATGATTAACATGCAGTAAACTATTTATATTTAAAGTATGCATTATATAAGTCTTGACATATGTGTACAACTGTAAAACCTTCACCACAATCAAGGAGTAAACATATATCAAACCAGAAAAACTTTCCTTGTGCCCCTTTTGAATCCCTCATTTGCATACCTCCAACTGGCACCCCCATTCCCAAGCAACCACTGATCTGCTTCCTCTCACTGTTATCCTAGCCATTTTTCATGGGTACAATGAAAAACTTCTTAACTTCAGAGGTTGCACTTCTGCTCCCTGCATTATCTTTCCTTAGTGATTTTCTTGAATGTATTCCTTTTTGCTCTTTAATATTAGAGATTTTACTCAAATGTCTTGTAGATCCTAGGATTATCTGCTTTTATTTAAGATAGAGACACCAAAAAACTGACTGGAAGTTATATACGCATGAGTAGGGGTTGTAGACTTATGGTCTTTATACTGAGGTAATTGGGTGGCACCTCTCACCTTCCCTAGATTGTATTATATAACTGGGTTTTGTTCTCCCTTAGAATAGTCATCTTTTCCAGAATAATCTTTAAGTCTACTGCCTAGGAGATATAAGCATGATGCCAGTGGCTCAGGAACCAAAAGGAGGTAAAGGAGAGGCTGGTTATCTCACTGTTCAGAGTGTAGAATTTCCCTTAATCCCACTGTTTGTGGTATGACACTTCACCATCCACAGCACTAGTGCCCTAAGTTCAAAGCCTCAATGCTTGTTATCTCCAGAAGGGCAACTTCACGCCTTCTGCTGTGTGAGTAGCGGTCTCCGCTACTGTTCCTAAGTAGATTCTCAAGGAATTCTCCTGTTTTCAGCTTCATCCCTCTCCCCAGTTTATGACACACTGATGTCTCCAATTCCTGAGCTTTTCCTAGGTACTGTGTCTCACTCAAATCAGCTTGCTTTTTGCTGGCTTCCCCCCTGCCAGCACTTAGGGTTCAGTTGTCTCTACTCTACTAAGTCAGTTATGTCTTCCACTTTCTTTGTCTTTATCTCCTTCGTCACTTTTTCTTCCTTTACCTTCATTTCAGAAGGGTTTCTGAAGGGAACACAAATAAACGCTTATGTTTAATCTTGCATATTTGTCCCTTTAGGGTTTTTCAAAATAATTCTTGAAATTGAAAAAACTGTCCTTATTCTCTCCCAGGGGGGAAAAGCCATCCAGTTCTCATCTTTTCTCTCAAGGCAGGGAATAAATGTAGGCTGGATATGCCATCTTTGAAAGGTTACTGAACCTGGGCCACGCCTTTGGTTAAGATAAAGTATGACAAAGTATTTAATTTATTAATTTGTTGACTGTTATGGACAAGCAAAACCTTGTATGTGGTATTTCTAAATAAGCTTCACAACTATCCAGCGTGTATGATTCTCATAGGGACATTGGCCAGTATTCACTGCAGTACTTCTTTTCTTTTTTTCTTTTTTTGTGACAGGGTATCACTGTCACCCAGGCCAGAGTGCAGTGGCATGATCTCGGCTCACTGCAACCTCATCCTCCTGGTTTCAAGCGATTCTTCTGCCTCAGCCTCCCGAATAGCTGGGATTAGAGGCGCGTGCCACCATGCCCAGCTAATTTTTGTATTTTTAGTACAGACAAGGTTTCACCATGTTTGCCAGACTGGTCTCGAACTCTTGACTGCAAGCGATCTGCCCTCCTCGGCCTCCCAAAGTGCTGGGATTACAGGCGTGAGCCACCACGCCTGGCCGCACTGCAGTATTTCTAACTAAAAAATTACACTTCTACTCTAGGACTCTGATTCCAAATCCTAGTCTTCATGAAAAGAGTTATCTTCATCCATAATTAAAATACTTTATTGTACCTCAGTTATTTTCAGTAGGTACACAGATGTCATGTGGTGAATCCGACATCTTTTTAATCTGTGCAAAGAAATTGGGAGTTGTTTACATAGTCATAATCCCCTGACACTGAAACTGGAGTTGTTTATAGTCAACACCAACACTATAGTACCTTTAAGTAGAAGAAGACTGATAGGCTGATCATTTTCATTGTATTTGAAGCCTCCCAAAGTCCTGTGGATTTTTTTGTCTCTGCAAATATAGACTAATTGCCCTTTCCACTGGAGCCATTTATGTTAACATCAATTTTAAAAAGGCCTATCATTTGTATAACACATTATAAATTTATATAACACTTCGGAATTCTTTTGCATGCATGTTCTTCACGAACCAAGCTTGTGTACAGTAACTTGTGTTGTTTTTATGTTTACTAAGGAGTCATTTCCCTTTTTCCATTTAAGGATTTTATAGTCATTTATCCAAAATGTCAATATTTTGTTGTTTATTACGCATTTATAGCCGGCTTTACTTCTAATGATCTTGTTTCCCATTTCTTTTTTCTTTTCTAATTATTTTCCCAGGAATCTAACAAGATGGGAATGCAGTCCTTTAGTCTGATGAAGCTCTGTAGAAATAGTGACCGAAAACAAGCAGCTGCCAAATTTTATAGCTTTCTTGTCCTAAAGAAACAGCTGGCTATTGAGCTGAGCCAGAGTGCTCCCTATGCAGATATTATAGCTACGATGGGACCAATGTTTTATAACATATGAAGGAAACCCAGACATACAGATTTATGGCATCACTGGAATTTCTGTGTAGATTGTTCAATTTAATGCAGAAGCCATCTGGAAGCAGCTGAAGGTCTGATCCATTTCATAGATAGGCTGACCTACTTCCTCTCTGTAGTTCAGAATAATCATAGCTAGAATTGGAAACCTACATGCTTACAAAGAAATACTTTAAATTCTGTTTTGTTTTTTTTTGTTGTTTTTTTAAGGACAAAGGTCTCACTATATTGCCCAGGCTGGACTTGAACTCTGGGTTCAAGTGATTCTCCTGCCTCAGCCTCCTGAATAGCTGGGACTACAGGCACATGCCACCATACCTGGCTCAGAAATACTTAATTATAGCTAAGTAATTATTTTTAACTTAGCTGATTTGAATATATAGCATTTATCATTTCCCTGATTTGAATGTTGCACTTAGCATACATTTAGCATGCATTTTTAAAATGCTGTATGTTTTTGACAGACATTCAAAGATGTTTCTTAAAAGGCTATTTTACATTGGAGTATTTACTTGAATTTTATGGGGTTAATGAAAACATCATTATTTCTACACAGACTATTTGGTTGCAACGTATATCATACTTGATTTGACATAATGCCATGGTTTTTAATCCAATATTTTAATTGAAGAGTTACAAAGCTCATCTTTGCTTTAAATTGCCTGAGTGGGTTTTAGTCTATTTATAGGTCACTTAACTTTTTTATTTACTATTTAATGATTATTATAATCACCATTAATGTGTCAGCAAAACTAAATCTGCTTCTTATGTTTAAAAAAATTAGCAGACACTTGTTCCTCATGTTGTTTGCAGCTACGGTCTGAGTAAAGATCACCAAAATAAATGTTCTTTTGTTTGGTGTTTACTGAACATTTTTGACATTAAAACTGTTGTTTTCCTTTTTTCTTAATTGAAGTTTGAGTTAGGACATTTTCATATGATGCTCTGTGAGCTCCATCATACACTGTCAAATGAAGCCTATGGTACTCATTAAAATGTTGTTATATCTGGAATTATGCTGCAAACAACAAATTCTAAATAGCCTCTCTAAATGTGTTAACTATAAATTTTAAATGGCAAAATTGCCTTTTTAAAATTTCTTTTATTTTTTAAATTAACATACAGAAAATTTGACTTCTTAATTTTGGTGCACAGTTCTGTGAATTTTAACATATTTGTAGAGTCCTGTAACCATCTCCACAATTAGGATTCCAGCAGTAACATCACCCTAAAAAATTCTGTTATCCCTTTGTAGTAACCCCCTTCCCCCATATAACATCTGGCAACCACTCTTCTCCATGACTACACTTTTGTCTTTTTGAAAATGTCACACAGATGGAATCATATAGCATGTAAGCTTTCGATACGGGCTTCTTTCACTCATAAATGTCTTTGAGACTTATCAAGTGCTTGCATGTGTCAGTGCTTTGTTCCTGTTTATTGCTGAGTAATATCCTGTTGCCTAGATATACCATAGTTTATCCATTTACCCACTGAAAGATGTTAAGTTGTTTCCAGTTTTGACAATTATTAATAGAGCTTCATACATTTGTGTACATTTTTGTCTGGATATAAGTTTTTATTTGTCTAGGGTAAATATCTAGAAATGGGATTGCTGGGCCATATAGCAAGTATATGTTTAACTTTATAAGAAATTACAAAATTATTTTCCAGAGTGGATGTACCATTTTGCATTCCCAGTAACCATGTAAGAGAGTTCCAGTTGATTTTTTGTTTACTTGTTATTTTGAGATAATTGTAGATTCACCTGCAGTTGTGAGAAATAATACAGAGATCCCATATATCAGTTTACCTCAGTGGTAACATCTTGCATAACTTTAATATAATACACAACTAGGAAATTGGCATTGACACTATCCACCCAGCTTATTCAGACATCACAGTTTTACATGCACTTATTTTGTGTATGTATTAATTCTATGCAAATTTATCGCATGTGTAGGTCTGTGTGGGCACCACCATAGTCAAGAAACAAAACAGTTCCATCACAAGGATCACTTGTGCTACCCTTTGTTAGCCACAGCCATCTCCCTCCTTACTGTCCTCCCTGGCTCCTGAAACCCACTAACCTGTTCTCCATCTCTATAATTTTGTCATTAATACAGTTAATTTTTATAGATTAATCTTGTATCCTATGACCTTGCTAAACTCAAAAATTAGTTCCAGGTGTTTTTATTTTACATAAATGGAATTGAACAATGTTTTGCCTTTTTTTTTTTTTACCCAAGCTGGAGTTGCAGTGGCACGATCTTGGCTCACTGCAGCATCGACCTCCCAGGTTCAAGCAATTCTCCTGCCTCAGCCTCCTGAGTAACTGGGATTACAGGGGCATGCCACCATGCCCAGCTAATGTTTTTGTATTTTTAGTAGAGATGGGGTTTCACCATGTTGGCCAGGCTAGACTCGAACTCCTGACCTCAAATGATCCACCTGCCTTGGCCTCCCAAAGTGCTGGGATTACAGGTGTGAGCCACCACTCCTGGCAATGTTTTGCCTTTTGTATCTGGTCCTTTCACCTAGTATAAAAGTTTCAGGTTTTATCCATGTTTTAGAATGTATCTTTACATCATTCCTTTTTATGGCCAAATAATATTCCATTGTATGGATATACCATATTTTGTTTATCCACTCATCAGCTGATGGACATGTTGATTGTTTCCACTTTTTAACTACTATGAATAATGCTGCTATCAACATTAGTATATAAGTTTTTGTGTATATAAGTTTTGATTTTTCTTGGTTATATACCTAGGCATGGAATTGCCAGGTCATGTGATAACTTTATGTTTAACTTTTTGAGGAGCTGTCAAACTGTTTTCCAAAGTAGCTGCACTATTGTACATTTCTACCAGCAATATATCAGAGTTCCAATTTCTTAATATCCTTGACAATACTTGTTATTTTCCTTTTTAAAAATTATAGCCATCCTAGTGAGTATCTCATGGTTTTGATTTGCATTTTCCTAATGACTAATTATGTTGAATATCCTTTCATGGGGATTTCCTAATAGTTTATTAAGGATTTTTGCATCTGATATTGGTCTGTATTTTTCTTTTACTGTCTTTTTCTGGTTTTGATATCAGGGTTATACTGGCCTCATAAAATAACTTAGAAAGTGTTTCTTCATATTCTATTCTTCTACAATAGATTGTGTATATTTGTGTTATTTCTTCTTGAAATAGTTGATAGAATTCACCCATAAACAATGTGGATCTGGATATTTATATTTTGTAAAGTTTTTTTAACCATGAATTTAATTTTTTAGTTGTAGGACTATTCAGTTACCTATTTCATTTTGAATGAGTTTGGGTAGTTTCTTATTTTAAGTAATTGGTCTATTTCATCTACTTTTGTGAGTTTATGTGTGTAGAATTGTTCAGAGTATTCCCTTATTATCCTTTTAATGTCTGTGGGGTCCATAGTAATAACCCCTCTTTCATTTCAGACATTGTTAATATGTTTTCTCTTTTCAGTTGTGCTAGAGGCTTATTAATTTTATTGATCTTTTAAAAGATTTTCTCTTTTGTTTTTCTGCTTTCTGTTTCATTTCATTTATTCCTGCTTTTACATTTATTATTATTGTCCTTTGGCTTGCTTTGGGCTTATTTTGCTCTTTCTAGTTTTATTAAGGTGGAGGCTTAGATAACTGATTTGAGATCTTCCCTCTTTTCTAACATAAACACATAAAGCTCTGTTTCCTTCTAGGTAACTGATTTGAGATCTTTCCTCTTTTCTAATATAAACACGTAAAGCTCTGTTTCCTTCTAGGTAACTGGTTTGAGATCTTCCCTCTTTTCTAATATAAACACATAAAGCTCTGTTTCCTTCTAGGTAACTGATTTGAGATCTTCCCTCTTTTCTAATATAAACACATAAAGCTCTGTTTCCTTCTAGGTAACTGATTTGGGGTCTTCCCTCTTTTCTAATATAAACACATAAAGCTCTGTTTCCTTCTAGGTAACTGATTTGAGATCTTCCCTCTTTTCTAATATAAACACATAAAGCTCTGTTTCCTTCTAGGTAACTGATTTGAGATCTTCCCTCTTTTCTAATACAAACACATAAAGCTCTGTTTCCTTCTAGGTAACTGGTTTGGGATCTTCCCTCTTTTCTAATACAAACACATAAAGCTCTGTTTCCTTCTAGGTAACTGATTTGGGATCTTCCCTCTTTTCTAATACAAACACATAAAGCTCTGTTTCCTTCTAGGTAACTGATTTGGGATCTTCCCTCTTTTCTAATATAAACACATAAAGCTCTGTTTCCTTCTAGGTAACTGGTTTGAGATCTTCCCTCTTTTCTAATATAAACACATAAAGCTCTGCTTCTTGGTAACTGATTTGGTATCTTCCCTCTTTTCTAATATAAACACATAAAGCTCTTGTTTCCTTCTTGGTAACTGGTTTGAGATCTTCCCTCTTTTATAATATAAACACATAAAGCTCTGTTTCCTTCTAGGTAACTGATTTGGGATCATCCCTCTTTTCTAATATAAACACATAAAGCTCTGTTTCCTTCTTGGTAACTGATTTGGGATCTTCCCTCTTTTCTAATATAAACACATAAAGCTCTGTTTCCTTCTAGGTAACTGATTTGAGATCTTCCCTCTTTTCTAATATAAACACATAAAGCTCTGTTTCCTTCTAGGTAACTGATTTGGGATCTTCCCTCTTTTCTAATATAAACACATAAAGCTCTGTTTCCTTCTAGGTAACTGGTTTGAGATCTTCCCTCTTTTCTAATATAAACACATAAAGCTCTGCTTCTTGGTAACTGATTTGGTATCTTCCCTCTTTTCTAATATAAACACATAAAGCTCTGTTTCCTTCTTGGTAACTGGTTTGAGATCTTCCCTCTTTTATAATATAAACACATAAAGCTCTG
The DNA here is from genome assembly GCF_000001405.40 of Homo sapiens. Taxonomy (NCBI): domain Eukaryota; kingdom Metazoa; phylum Chordata; class Mammalia; order Primates; family Hominidae; genus Homo; species Homo sapiens. The sequence goes on from NC_000020.11 coordinate 1,259,380, forward strand.
TTTCCTTCTAGGTAACTGATTTGGGATCATCCCTCTTTTCTAATATAAACACATAAAGCTCTGTTTCCTTCTTGGTAACTGATTTGGGATCTTCCCTCTTTTCTAATATAAACACATAAAGCTCTGTTTCCTTCTAGGTAACTGATTTGAGATCTTCCCTCTTTTCTAATATAAACACATAAAGCTCTGTTTCCTTCTAGGTAACTGATTTGAGATCTTCCCTCTTTTCTAATATAAACACATAAAGCTCTGTTTCCTTCTAGGTAACTGATTTGAGATCTTCCCTCTTTTCTAATATAAACACATAAAGCTCTGTTTCCTTCTAGGTAACTGGTTTGAGATCTTCCCTCTTTTCTAATATAAACACATAAAGCTCTGTTTCCTTCTAGGTAACTGGTTTGAGATCTTCCCTCTTTTCTAATATAAACACATAAAGCTCTGTTTCCTTCTAGGTAACTGGTTTGAGATCTTCCCTCTTTTCTAATATAAACACATAAAGCTCTGTTTCCTTCTAGGTAACTGGTTTGAGATCTTCCCTCTTTTCTAATATAAACACATAAAGCTCTGTTTCCTTCTAGGTAACTGATTTGGGATCTTCCCTCTTTTCTAGTATAAACACATAAAGCTCTGTTTCCTTCTAGGTAACTGATTTGAGATCTTCGCTCTTTTCTAATATAAACACATAAAGCTCTGTTTCCTTCTAGGTAACTGATTTGAGATCTTCCCTCTTTTCTAATATAAACACATAAAGCTCTGCTTCTTGGTAACTGATTTGGTATCTTCCCTCTTTTCTAATAGAAACACATAAAGCTCTGTTTCCTTCTAGGTAACTGGTTTGAGATCTTCCCTCTTTTCTAATATAAACACATAAAGCTCTGTTTCCTTCTAGGCAACTGATTTGAGATCTTCCCTCTTTTCTAATATAAACACATAAAGCTCTGTTTCCTTCTAGGTAACTGATTTGGGGTCTTTCCTCTTTTCTAATATAAACACATAAAGCTCTGTTTCCTTCTAGGTAACTGGTTTGAGATCTTCCCTCTTTTCTAATATAAACACATAAAGCTCTGTTTCCTTCTTGGCACTGCTTTAGCTGCATCACACAGATACTTATACGTTGTATCTTCACTTTTGTTCTGTTAAAAATATTTTCTAATTTCCCTTGAGACTTGCAGGTCTTTTACCTGCAAATTATTTGGAGGTATAGGATGTTCAGTTTCGAAGGGATATTTCCAGTAATTGATTTTGAGTTTAATTCCATTATGGTAAGAGAACATACTTTAAATGATTTCAATTATTTCAGATTCATTAAGATTTATTTTATGACCCTATACTAAGTTGAAAATTTGTGTATACATTTTGACTCCCCAAAAACTTAACTACTAATAGCCTACTGTTGACCAGAAGTCTTACCTATAACATAAACAGTCAATTAGCACATGTGTTGTATATGTATTATATACTATATTCTTACAATAAAGCAAGCTAGAGAAAAGAAAATGTTATTAAGAAAATCATAAGGAAGATAAATATATTTTCTATTCATTAAGTGGAAGTGGATCAACATAAAGGTCTTCATCTTCATGGTCTTCACACTGAGTAGGCTGAGGAGGAGAAGGAGGAAGAGGAGTTAGTGTTGCTGTCTCGGAGATGGCAGAGTCAGAAGAAAATCCACATGGAAATGGACACACACAGTTCAAAGCTGTGTTGTTCAAGGATCAATTCTGTTCTGCATTTGTTAGGTGGAGTGTTCTATAAATGTCAGTTGGACCTAGTTAGTTCATAGTGTTGTTTAGTTCTTCTACATCCTTGTTTATTTTGTCTACTAGTTCTATCAATTACTGAGAAAAAGTGTTTGTGTCTCCAGCTATAATTGTGGATCTGTTTATTTCTCTTTTCCATTCTGTCAGTTTTTGCTTTATATATTTTGAAGTTCTTTTATTAGGTTATATACATTTATAATTATTACATCTTCTTGGTGAAATGACCCTTTTATTATTTTATAATAATTCTCTTTATTCCTGGTAATATTTTTTGCTCTGTAGTCTACTTTTTCTAATATTAATATAGTTATTCCAGCTTTCCTTTGATAAGTATTTGTATGGTATATCTTTTTTTATCTTTTACTTTTAGCCTACCTATATCATTCATTATAGTTAAAGTGAATTTCTTATAGACTGCATCAAATAAAGTCATTTTTTTATCCATTCGGATAACCTCTGTTTTAATTGAAGTGTTTAGATCACTTATATTTAATGTAATTATTGACATTTTTGGATTTCAGATTTTATTTATTTAGGATTTTTGGATTTTATTTTATTTTTTTTACTGTTTGTTCCCTTTATTTTTTATTCCTCTGTTTTCCCCTTTCTTGTCTTCTTTTGGAATATTTGGAATTCCATTTTTATTTCTTCTTCTTCTTTTTTTTTTTTTTTGACAGAGTCTCACTCTGTTGCCCAGGCTGGAGTACAGAGGTGCAGTCTTAGCTCACTGCAACCTCTCCCTCCTGGATTCAAGCAATTCCCATGCCTCAGCCTCCTGAGTAGCTGAGATTACAGGTATACAACCACCCCACTCAGCTAATTTTTGTATTTTTAGTACAGACCAAGTTTTATATTTTTAATAGAGACCTGTTGGACAGGCTCATCTTGAACTCCTGGCCTCAAGTGATCCACCCACCTCTACCTCCCAAAGTGCCAGGATTACAGGCATGAGCCAGTGCACCCGGCCTATGGTGTTTTTTTTTTTTTTTTTTTACTATATTTTTTGTCATAGATTTTAAAAATAGCTATTCTAGGGGTTACAAAATACATACTTAACTTTTCATGCTCTACTTAGAATTGATATTTTACCACTTCAAGAGGAGTGTAAAAATCTTACACCATATAGGTCCCTTTATATTGTAAAGGAATATACATACTCCTCCTTTATATTGTACTAGTCTTATCTACACACATTGAACCCCCATCAACAATTGTTGCTTTCCACTGTCAAACATGTTTTAAAAGATCAAGAGAAGAATAGCCTATTACATTTACTCAAATATTTACCATTTTTGTTCTCCTTCCTTCTTGATGTTCCAAATTTCTTTCTAATGTAATGTCCCTTTTGTCTGAAGAACTTAATTCAGTAGTTCTTTTAGAGCAAGTGTGCTGGCAATGGATTATCTTCATTTTCCTTAATTGGAGAATGTGTTTATTTCACTTTCATTTCTGAAGGATATTTTTGCTGGGTACAAAATCCTGGTTGACAACTCTTTTCTTTAAGCAATTAAAAAAAATTGTTCTGTTTTCTTCTGCCCTCCATGGTTTCTGATAAGAAATCAACAGTTATTTAAATTATTATTCCTGTATTTTTTTTTTTTTTTTGACACAGGATCTTGCTCTGTCACCCAGGCTACAGTGCAGTGGTACAGTCAGTCATAGCTCACTGCAACCTCGACCTCCCGGGCTCCAGCAATCCTCCCACCTCAGTCTCCCGAGTAGCTGGGACTACAGGCAAACGCCACTACACACAGCTGATTTTTGTATTTTTTATAGAGGTGGGGTCTCGCCGTGTTGCCCAAGCTGGTCTCAAACTCCTGGGCTCAAGCAATCTGCCTCTTGGCCTCCCAAAGTGCAGGGATTACAAGTGTGAGCCACTGCATCCAGCCTATTCCTGTATTATTAATGCATCATTTTTCTCTGACTGCTTTAAAGATCTTGTTTTGTTTTTAATTTTCAGCAGTAACTGAAAACTATTATTATTATCATTATCATCATTTGATTTATTCTCTCTGGGGTTCACCAGAATGCTGGAGTTTGGAGCTTTATTTACTCTGTTCCACTTTGCTGCCTACTTTCCACAGTTGAACTTGCATCTGGGACCAGGAGGTAGGAGGACAGTGACAAAAAAACAACAACAGGGGCTCACCCTCCCTCAGGACTACAGCTACTTTTATTGAAGAAGTTTCTCCTCCCTCAGAGTTTTAGGCACCTGTGGGTTCCTGCTGTCACAGACACCACTGCAGGATGGCCTAGGGCCTGGGTCATGAGACAATGGAGAAAAGATTTGAAAGGAAAAGAACAATGATATCTCCCACATACTCTGCGCATCAGAAGTCCCTTTTCCTGATCTTCAAGTCAAAACTAGGGAGATTCTTTGGGAGCTTTCTCTTTATTGAGCCCCAATTCCAGATTTTGATCTGCCTTGAGACCAGGACAGGAGTTATAGGAAGAAATAAAGATGATAAATTCACCACTAGTTCAGTGGTAGGGTATATCAAATTCTGGCTTCTTCCCCAGTGTGCCTGCTAGTATTTTGTCTTCAGAATCCTCAAATAGCTGCTACATGCATTTTGTTCAGGTTTTATTGCTGCATTCTGTGGGAGAGTATGCTTAGCCAGAATTGGAATACAATTGTTTTTGAAACTAAAAAAATTTTTAATGTATTTTCAACTAGTCCAAAACAAAACAAAATTACTAATTTATTAGGAATAATTTTGTTTTATACTTATAATCCTCATTTGTTGCAATTTACATTATAACTAAACACCAGTTCTCTTCTCAATCATCTGCTTCCTGATGATAAAGAGAATACTTTACTAGCTAACACCATTCCAGATGGGAGTAATGTGAGTGAAGTCACTGTCTTGCTTTGGGGAAGTTCCTTGTGGAGATTTCTGGGAAATGTAGTCTTCTAAGTACCAAGCAAAAAAAAAAAAAAACCCAAAAAAACCCCCACACAAAACCCCACACACATACACACATGAGGATGGGACAGCCAGGCATGGTGGCTCAAGCCTGTAATCCCAGCACTTTGGGAGGCTGAGGATTGCTTAAGCCCAGGAGTTGGAGACCAGCCTGGGCGACATAGTAAAGCCCCATCTCTATTAATAAACAAAACAGCATGGGAACAGACAAAAAAATATTTTAATGACAATCTCAGAAATGTTCTCCTTCTAAACATGTAATAATTACATGGCTTCCTTTGGTTTCACTTTTAAGTGTAAAAATGTCACTTATATAATTTCAGTGAGCATTAGAGCAGATAAAACATTTTATCAATTAACTTGCTAATATAGCATTAGGTGTTTTGGACAGAAGACCTCAACATTTCACATGGCTTTTTCAACTAGTTTCCTATTCCTGCTAAATTGCTCTGCCATGTTTTTCTAGAAAACATAATATAATAATGGCTATCTGATAGGATATGGTTTAACGGAATACAGGAGAAAATAGAATCAATGTCCTCTCCAAAATTTATTAGCATTTGTTGCAAAAAAAGTAATGGATTTATTGCAGCTCAGAGATACAGGAAAAGATTTGACTGTGAAAAGCAACAGTAAACTTAAAATAATTATTTTTTCATGTACATTATCAATATTAACTGTTTCTCACCAGGCCAGTACTGCAGAGTCATGATGTAAATCAGTGAAGTCACTTTACAAATTCTTCTCTTGGAAAAGTCAGCTTGGGGCAGAGAGTAGAGGGTACCAAGTTCAGCACCGGCGAGAGTAAACAGACTTAAGGACTTAAGAGCCTTAAGAGACTTAAGACAAAAGGACTTCCAGGATGGCATCTGGCCTAGTGTTCCCATAGAAGACTGGGGCCTGGCACAATGTGTGCTTGCTTTCTCATTCACTTAGTCAATATTTATTGAGCTCCTACTATGTGTTAGGCACTGCTCTGGGCACTGGAAATACAGCAAGGGAAAAAAACAAAGTTCCTTCCCTCATGAAGTGTACATTCTAGTGGGAGTGATAAATGACACATAGTAAATATACACTATGTCAGCTGGTAATTAAGTGTAGCAAAACTAGGGGCAAAGGAGGTGGAGAGGAGGGAGTTAGTATTTTATGTAGAATGGTTAAGGAAGCCCTCTCTGAGACAGTAACATTTGAGCAGAGACCTGGAGGAAAGGAAGGATTGAACCATGTGGCTCTCTGGTGTGTTCTAGGCAAAGGGGACAGCAAATGCAAAGGCCCAGCAGTGAGGCCTCAGCAAGAAGGACAGCTTGATGGGAGAAAAGTGAGTGATGGGGAGAGCCACGCAAGATGAAGTCAGAGAGCTGGAGTAAGATGAGGGCATGTGGCGGAGAGCGATACAGAAAACCACTGGATGGTTTAGAGCAGAGTAATGACAGATCAGACAGGCCTGGTTCAGAAAGAAGGAGCCCATTCCCACTCCACCTACTTCCCACACATGAAGCAGATAAGAAACCAAGCCCAGAAAGTGAGTTAACTTATCTAAAGTTGTATGGCTAGAAATGGAAGGGCTAGGCAGAAAATCCAGTTTTTTGGACTTTTTGGTCTTCTTGTTTTCCCTGTGACAGATGGAAGACAGAGGGAAAAGAGCCACAATTAACATTTTAAGTTGTGATTGTTTATCTCTCCGAGATCTTTCCAATGATTCACCTTTTTACTACTTAAGAGGAAAACATTTCCATTTTCAGACACTTAAGATTCCTGCTATCATTGTTAGTAGCCCAAGTGCTTGTCATTCACATTAAATACCCCTGGTACTCAGACTTGGTTTGGGCAATGAAAAATGTTCCTAAAGGCTTTTAGATAAAAATTACTATTTCACTAGAGCCAACTATGTGCCAGGGAGTGAGACTGGTATCATCACCCCATGTTAGAGAAGAAAAAGCTGAGGCCCAGAGAGGTGAAGGGACTTGCACAGGGTCACACAGCCGACCAAGACGCTTTCCACCACGCCCAATCGATCGCCCAGCTCAAAATACCGGCTGGTGTGTAGGTGGGAGAGGCCGCCGCTCCCCGTGTGCTCGTTGTCTCTGTTCCCAGGCCCTCTAGAGCAAGATACTAACTATCTCTTTAAGAAGGAAAGTAAAGACGGGCCGCTTACGCAGCTGCCGGCGAGCCGCCGACTGGCTGGTCCCCTCCATCCACCTCACCCTCCCCGCCCCTCCCTCCCGGCAGCCCCAGCCCCGGCGAGCACCCAGCTAGCCGCCTCCTGCAGGGGCTCGGGAGAGCAATTCGGCGGCCCCTGCAGGGCAGCTGAAGCCATGGAAGCCTCCGCAGGTGATGACAAGGACCCCGGGGATCTCCGGGCCCACCGCCCAGCTGCACCCGCCGCAGTCCAGAGTGCCGAGTGCCAGGGGGTGGGGTGGGGGCCGCGGGCCGCGAGGAGGAGGGGACGGAGCACCCGGCAGGCAGCCTGCCCTCCAAGCCTTCTGGCTGCAGCGGCCCAGCTGTCAGCGGCCGGGGGCTCAGCTGCCTGGGTGTTCCCCGCCCGCGCTCACCCGCCCCGGTCTATCTCTTTTTCCTAACCCCGCAGGTCGCTGATCAGGGCCAGGCGGCTGCAGCAGCGACTGCAGAGGCGCTGCGCCAAGCCGGGCCGGAGTGGTGCGAGCCGGCGGGGCTGCGGAGGGCCAGTGGACTCAGGTGAGGAGGCCGCGGCGGAGCGGGGAGCTGGCCCTGCGCTGCACCGCGGCAGGTGGGGGCCGCTTGCAACCGCTCGCTGCGGTAGAATCCCTTGGAGGGCACCAGCCTAAGAGGGGTTAATCGTGACTCATTCTTACCCTCCCTTCATTCCCCTACATCCCTTTAAGCGCTTCCCTCCCTCCCCCTCCCTGAAATGTAAGAATTAGAGGGTGCTGATTGCAGCAGAGAAGATGCCCAAAGTGGGTGATTAGGAGGCTTTTAGGGAACCCACCCCCCAATTTTATTTGTCTTCCCCTTCTGGCATTTGGCAAACATTTAAGCTTCTCTTTTCCTTCTTGGAGGAGGAGCAGGGGTACCTGGGGGTGGGAGAAGGATGAGACCCCACCCCCACCCCAAGGTCAAGTGCCAATGACTGCTTCCATCCCATCTTTCCCTCTGAGAAGCATCAGGGCCCTGCAGTAGATCTGGGGAAAAAATGCCCATAAGTCCTAGAGTGGACGATCTGAGCCTCCGTCTCCCCGGAGCTTCCCTGGGATGTGAAGCCTTCCACTCCCCAGCCGGGATCTGGGCTGTTTGCAACACCTACTAGCCTGGGGAGCCCCATATTCCCTTCCCCAACCCTGCAGACTGAAAGAGAGGCCGGTCACATGCTGCCCGTTTCCTCTGCCTTCTCTGCCCATCTGGTGGTGTCGGGATGGGCTGGAGGAGCTTCTTAGAAAAAGGTGATCTCTGCAGGCAGAGTCGTGTAAGGAAAGTGCCAGAGATTGGGGTTCTAGGCCCTTAACTTGCTAGTTGGCCACAAGTAGCCATTTTAAAATTCTCTAGGCGTGGGTGTCTGTCTGCTCATCTGTTAGATGCAGGAATTGGATTAAATGATGTGTATAATTTTAGTATATCACTCAAGCAGCTTTTACATGTCAGGGGGACCCCTCTGCTAAGGCAATTTAAATTTAGTTTCATGAAATAATTGGGGTTTCCTCAGTTGATCTCTTTCAACTCTGACTTCTTAAGTGAAACATTGACCTTGTGGGCCTCAAGGAGCTGGAGGTGCCAGACAGTCCTATGTTGACATCCCTGAGCTGCCAAGTGACTTCCCTTCCCCCAGCCTCAGTTTCTCCATCTGTAAATCTAGGGGTACAGCCCGCAGAGGGCTGATGTGAAAATTAAATGAGATGTATGTGGAAGCACCTAAAATAGTGCCTGTGCCTGGCACATAGTAGGTTCTCAGGAACTCAGGACTTGGGAGATAGGCTGGGGGAAGAGAGGAAGAGGTGACTGCTTTTAGTCCTGTTCTCCTCCCCATCCCCTGCCTGTCTCTTCCACACCCCTGCAGATGGTGTCCCTGCCAGGGGTAATGAATGCTGAAGTGTATTGGGTCACCAGGCTGAGGGCCTAGGCAGGCAGCAACATTTCCACTGCAAAGGTTGTGACATCATTCTAGCAAATGATGGTCCCAAGGAGGACTGTAGCCCAGCATTGGGTTTGGAAAATCCTGGCATCCAAGGGCGGAGTCTCTGAGGGAACAGAAGCAGCAGATTCTTGTGTGCTGGCAGCAGGGCAGGGATCAGGTCTTCCGGATCTCACATGAATCCCACTGTGGCTCTCTTGCCCTCCCTGGAGTGTCTCCCTAGAGTCACCCTGAGGCCAGGCAGTCAAGTTTTTGGTGCTTGTATTTTCGATTCTTTATCTTCCTTCCTGCTGTCATTTTCAGCCTAGCACTCAAGCCTTTCTCGCTCCTCTTTATTCCAGATACCTCCTGCCTTTTGACAGCATGATAAAGGAGGTTCTCCATAGGGTTGGGTGGGGAATTTTGCTGCTGCACCATTTGGGCCAAAAGAAGTTGTCATGTCCCCCCACCCCCACCCTAAATTCCTATTTGGCAGAGGCCCTATCATTTTCCTTTCTCTATCTCCAGCCTCTGGCCCATGAGTAGGCCCAAAGTAGGTGCTCCGTAAGTGTTGAATGAAACAAACTTGAGGAAATTATGTCCCTAAGCCAACTAGGTTAGGGAGAAACTGTAGGAATGTGTTGATTATGTAGGTGAAAGCCCTTTTTAGTGTAGGACATCGTCCAGGTTGTTGGTTGTCATTATTATTGCTATTACAGCTACTGTTATTATTGCTATTGTTGGTGATTAACAGATGCTTCGCCTACTCCTCTAGGGCTCCTGACTAGACCAAAAGGGGCCAGATGTGCCTGGGAGGGTGGTGATGTTGGCAAAAAGGGATCCAGATGGTGCCAGCTGGTGTGAGATGACTGTGAAGGGAGGAGGATTGGGAAGGGAATGATTCTAGCCATTTTCTGTGTTTGAGGGAGGAGAGCAGGTAATTAGAATCAAGTGGGACAACATGGATATGCAGTAGAAAGTCAGGAGACCCAGGTCCCATGTCCCATTGAACCACTGCCTTATTATGTGACCTTGGGCCAGTCAGGCCTCCCCTCAAGGCCTCTGTGTGCCCATCTATATAATGATGGGACTGGACTAAGTGATTTCTAAGACCCCTTCTGCTTCTGACATTCTGTCGAGTGGATTTTGTTAAATAAAAATCAGACAACTATGATTACCCTCAACGTCATTTATGAAGTCCCAGACCATTAACTGTCTCAGGTAATCCTTAAAGAAAATTATGACCATTTCAAAGATGGGGAGACTGAGGCTTGGAGAGACTAAGTGACTTGCTGAGGGTTGCGCGGCTAGAACTGCTATCCGACACCAGGTCTGTCTGCATCGTCCCCTTCCAAAGGTTTCGCTGCCTCTTCATGCATACCTTGCTGATGCTGTGAGCTGTGTGTGCACTTGCAGGTGGGAACAGGGGTTTGGAGAAGAAGAAGCTGTGAACAATTTACGGTGAGAGATCAGGCATTTCTCCCAGGTGATTGGTGCAGGGTACTTCCTGGTTGAAAACTGTGTGAACCAGGAATGGAGAGTTTTCCTTTCACCGTGAGCCCTGCTTTGCTGATGTTTGGTGGATGCCCCTTTACCGAGGATAATGGTTAGGCCTGAATGACAGTCAGGACAGACACACTTTTTTAGTCTTCTTATGTGTTGTGCTCTGTTTTACACAGGTTCAATAATTTACTGCTCAGATCATCCCATTATGTAGGCACTATATATAAATTTACCCATTTTTATAAGTGAGAAAGCCAGGGCAGAGAGGCGAAGGGTCTTACCCAGAGTCGTACAACCAGTGTATCATAGAACCTAGAAAATGTTTAGCTGGAAGTGCACTGGACTGGGTGTCCAAAGGGTTGCTTTTAGTCTGAGCCCTCTCAATAACTGAATAACCTTGGGTCAGCCAGTTTCCCTCCAAGAGTTCCCATCCCTCAAATGATCTGCATGCATCTACTGGCTCCGAAAGGCCTACATGCACCCTTGTTCCAGTATTGGAGGTGGAGGGGATTCCTTAACTTGCTAAACATTGACCAGCATTTGTCCTTATTTATTAGCTAGGCCCTGGGCTAAGTGCATAGCATGCAGGAAAGAGTAAATTGTGAGTCCTAGTTTCAAGAAGCTCATATCTAACAGAGGGAGACAGACACCTAAACGTGTAGATATGAGAAAACATCTGGAAGCTATAAGACATACTGATATGTGTGTGATGGGGTGGGGGGACAGAGAGAGGGGAATGATCTTTCCTACTGAGTGGGTCAGGAAGGCTTTAGAGAGATGATGCCATTGTCATCTCTATTTTTGGCATTGAGCTTGTGAATAATAATTTAATAATAATAGTAAAGGGTTCTACTCGATTTAGAATGTTTCCAAACAGCCCTAAAGACTTGTTGGCTCCTGTCCTCATCAATCTAGAAGGTGGACATGGAGTCTAGGGGACTATCCAAGCTCACGCTGTAACACAATTTTGATGGAACTATCTGTTTGTCCCAGGTAGACCAGAACCTTTCCTGTCCTTAAAGCCTTCTAGAAGCAGGATTTTGAAATTCCTCTGACAAAGACTGTCTTGTGCCTATAATCATCTGATAGGCTTGGGGAATTCTTCTTCATGTCTATTCTAGGCATCCCACCTGTCTGGAGGAACGCCTAACACCTGAGAGGTGAAGTCATTTGCCTAAGATTACTCAGCAGGGCTTGGTTCATAACTCTGGCCTAACGGGGATTGCATTTCTAAGCCACATGGGGTCTTTCTACATCTAGGCCACCAGAAGCCCCAGGTGCCAGTTCTCCATTTGATGGGCAGCTGGTGCTGTGGGAAGTCTCGATGCAGGTGATGTGAAGCTCAAGCCAAGGGCCATGGAGAGGCTGAGGCCTGTGCACCCCAGGCTGCTTTGCATTAATGGACAGATATTTATGACGTGTTTGTCGCATACTCAGCACTGTCCTCTGAATTGAGGGGCTGAGCCAACCAAAAGGGAGTGGCTGGAAAGCAGCCTGGCACAGCAGGAAGAGCCAGCACCGAGGAGTCAGTAGACTTGGGTCCTCACCCCAGCTCTGCCGTTGACCCACTGGGTGGCCTTAGGTCAGACCCTTTGCTTTTCCACACCTGCAAAATGGGAGTCAGAGGTGATGATATCTAAGAGCCCTTCTAGCTCTGAGTGGCTAACAATTCAGAAACTCTTTCTTCTTCTTCTTCTTTTTGTTTTTTGGAGGCAGAGTCTTACTCTGTCACCTAGGCTGGAGTTCAGTGGCATGATCTTGGCTCACTGCAACCTCTGCCTCCCGGGTTCAAATGATTCTCCTTCCTCAGCCTCCTGAGTAGCTGGGACTATAGGCATGCGCCACCATGCCCAGAAAATTTTTGTATTTTTAGTAGAGAGGGGGTTTCACCATGTTAGCCAGGCTGGTCTCGAACTCCTGACCTCAGGCAATCCATCTGCCTTGGCCTCCCAAAGTGTCTTTCTTCTGTTCTGTAATGACTTTAGGGGGTAAAAGGGTGGATAGGATACATATAATTGTTACTTGAGGAAGAATAAGATAAATATAACAAAAGGCATGAACAAATGCTTTGTGGATTTGCTGGAGGGAGAGGGGTTGGGAAAGACTCAGTTCAAAAGCCACCTCTTCAAAAATAGAATGATGCAGACATGGTTAGATGAAGTTATGAGTTTTTGTTTTTTTGTTTTAACCAAGAGGAGTAACAGAAGATTGCTGTCATACTGGGACAGGAAGTCTGTAGCAGAGCAGTGGGTCTTGGACTTAGATTTCACAAAGACCAGTGCATTTGGGAATCCATCCTCGGTTAGCTAGCTTTTTATTTTACCAGACGAGGACATTCAGATGACACTTAGGGTCCTCTTTACCATCACTATCATAAAATAAGAGAAAGAACATTTTAATATTTCTATTCCCCCAAGTAAGAAGGCCATGTTATCAGGGGGAAAATGGTATTCCTTCAAATTGAATACATTTTGCTTTGTTAAAAACTCACTGCATTGTCTGTATTTTCCTCATTTTTGCCACAGACTCGTGTTCTCGTGTTTGGCTCTGCAATTGGGCTGCTGGGGTTTGAATTTTGGCCCAGTTATTTTTTTCCCTCAGAGCTTCTGTTTCCTCACCTGTAAAACTGGGAAATGATGTTGTCTCCTAAGGTCATTAGGAAGACTTTACACCAAAATGAAATATGTTAAGCAAGGGATGTCAAATGTAGTTGTCTACAAAGGTAAAACAGGCCAGTTGGGCTGTTTGGGGATTGTAGCACATTGGAAAGTGCTTGCTTGAAAGAGGCAGCTGCTATCCTGCTCTCACCATTCTTGCCTACAAGAACATGTGCCCAATGTTGTCAGATCTTCTGATTTATAAGACAGAAATCTGCATATTTGTTTGTGACATCTCCTAATTTTTAAAATGTAGCTGATTAGGCAATATTTTTAAATGCACATATTAAAATGTGTATGTGACCGGCCATCCGTCTGTGACCTCAGATGTAAAGTTTTAGATGCTGGGCACATAGTGCTCAGTCATTATTGGCTGGCCCACAGATGAAGGCAGAGAAAGGAAGGAAGGCTGGAAAGGCAGCCTAGGCCAGGGAATGCCTTGTTTGCATGGCTAGGGCATTTAGCCTGACTTTGGCAGCTTGTGATCTTCTGCTTCTGGCTCCCCCAGCTTCAAAGGCCCTGATGGTGCCCCTTCCCTTTTGGCAGCACTGTCAGGATTGAGTCTCTGGGGACTGAGGCCTCCAGATACCTCTGTACCCCTTGAAGCTGGCCCTAGCCACGCCTCCCTACCACAGGGTCTCTGGAAGCTTGGTCGGCAGCTTCAGAAGAGGGAACTTGGCTGGTGGCCTGTGCAGCCTGGCACAGAAGCCACCTTTGAGAAAGAGGGGTGCAGAGAGACTCCTGGCAGGTCCTCAGTGGGTGGGGTAGTTCCTGTTCTTTGGAAGCCACGCCGGCCTTGCAGCAGAGCTTCTGCCACCCTCTCCTTGGGTTGTGCTGTGGTCTGGACAGCAAGCAGTCTCTCTGTGGACAGCTCTGACACATGGTCCCTGCAGAGGAAAAGTTGGGATCTGGTTGCAAAGAGAGCCTAGAGTGTTCTTAGAGAAGGACCTCAGAGGAGCTCTTAATTAGCAGAAGAAACCCTACCACGGTTTCAGGGCCTTCTAGGATTCAGATTAAAGCCACTGATGACAGTTCACATTTTTTGTGGCTCCAGTTAATCAAATATTCATCAAGCACCTATCATGGTAAGGTTCTATTCTGGCCACGGTGAAGGAATTCAAAGAAGTATTTACAACCATTCATTCAACCAACATATACTGAGGATCTGCTGTACACACAGGCACCAAGATGTGGTCCCTACCCTCAGGGAGCTGTTTAGGTTGGTTGGAGGGAAGGAATGTGGGTGGTGCACAGGGCCTGACACATAGAAATATTAACAACAGCTGCCATTTGACTGTGTGTCTTCTGAGTATGAGGTGCTAGCCCTCATAGCACCTGTTTTAGAGGGTGGATGGGAACTGAACTGAATCTTCATCTGAAGCACTCAGCACTGTGCCTGCCACACAGTGATATAGCTGCATTATTCGTAGCCTGGAAAATTGGGCAGATGCAGAAGAAAGGCAACGTAAAGATGGGACGGAGAAAAAAAGAAGCAGTCAACCAATCCGGGCCCACTTAGCATATGTTATCCTTGTTTTATAGAGAAAGACACTGAGACTCAGAGAGGGGAGGAAATTTGTTCAAGGTTACACAGCGGCTGTGTAGCAGAGCCTACACTTAGATGCCAGTCTCTTTGGCATCAGAGCTGCGTTCTTCCCTCTAAGCCATACTGCCTCTAAAGAAGTGATCGGTGAACAAAAAATAAATAACTACCATTTGTTGAACACACACAACAGGTGAGGCACTGTGCTGCTTGCTAAGATAGGAAGTTTTTTAATAGTTGAGGAAACTAGGACCACTAGAAAGAAGAAACTGGCCCAAAGTTATATAAGCACAAGTGGTGGGGTGGGGACTCTGACACAGGTATACAGGATGTAGCTTCCCGCACCGTAGTGACAGGATAGCAGTTTTCAGGGGTAAAGGTATTCAAAGTGCAGGCATGGGAGAGAGTGTGGGCTTCTGCATGCCCTGAGAGATAGATACCAGACCAGTCCTTGCAAGTGCCAGCAAGGAAGGCAAATTTTGGCTCAGTTCAAGGGATGAAAGGGAGAAAATTCTAAAAAAAAAAAAATCTAGTAACAAAACAATGTGTTTTGAGAGCTGGCACCTCATCTCTGGGCTGCTCACATAGGGCTGGATGTTCTAGGAGGAATTCTTGCCATAGGATGGAGTTTGGAAAGGCTGTGCTTGACAGCTGTAACCCAGAAGATCTGGAATCCTAGTATAGGGCTGGTCACAGATGAGGCAAGCAGTGGGTGCTGCTGGCATTCCCAGGAGAAAGAATAGCTGTAGGTTGAGACTATCTGAGAAGGCTTCCCGGAGGAAGAGGAGGAACTAGAAAGGATCTAAAGGCTGGCACTCGGGAAGGGAGCGGAAGAGGACTGTGTAAGGACTGTGAGTCTGAGGACACTGAGCTCTCTAGTCTGGCTAGGCCATCGGTCTGGTGCCCTTCAGCAAAGGGCAGCTCCCTGTCCTTTCTGGCTTTTAAAATGGTGGAAGCAGAGGTACAGTAAATCCTGGGTCCTGCGTCTTTCCCAAAGCCTCATTAGGCAGCCAGTTTGGCACCACCTCCCCCGTCTTGCTTCCCACACATCCCCTCTGTATGCATTGTAAGATTCGCCTCCCTTCCAGCCTCCCTTTCAGAAGTGGCGGACTTTGGACGTGCAGCCCCAGAGGGAGAAGGGGTGCGCTAAACATCACCTCTTCTGTGAGGCAAGTGTCATGAGGCAAACTACGTCTTCTGGCAGTGGCCACCTGCCTCACTTTTGGGGCTCAGAGCCAAAGGGGGAGGAGCCACAGCTCCATCCATTTAAGCCACCCTGGGCCTTCTGGGAGCCACTCGCTTCCTCAGAGCCAGGCCTGGCTCATTTCCAGTTCTGCCACTTGTTAGCCTGGGACTTCAGACAAATTGTGTTACCCCCTGGGCCATTTTCTCATCTGCCAAAGAGAAATCGATTATTCCTGCCTGAGAGGAGACGGGATGATCTGTTGTGGTCCCCTGTGGGAAAGAGCCTGGTATATAGCAGATGTCCCCACGAACACTGCTTCCTCCTGTCTCTATGGGCCTCGATTGCTTTTCTGACCCTCTAAGTCCCGACTCTTGTCCAGGTTAATGAAAACAGCTACACTACATGTCGGGCACAGGGGATATGTGACCTTATAGCATCTTCCTGACAGCCCAGGTAAGGAAAGCATTATTATAGAAAAGGAAGCTGAGTTATAGGAAATTTAAGCAATTTGTCCATGGCCCACAGCTGTTACATGGTGGCTGAGCTACCAAATACCTGATTCCAGGGCCCAAACTCTCCCTGCCCCTCATTTTGCTTTCTCATTCTCTTCCTCTCCCCATTTCTGTTCTCTTAGGCCTGTGAATGGGCATTCCTTCCTCCTCAAAGCTTAGCTGGGCTCTTACACCAAGGTTGCTAGCCCTGGACCTGATAGGAGTGAGGTGGTCTAAGAGCTAGAGAAGGACATTTTGATAGTTTATGACTTCAGAAAAGTCCCTGAGTGACCCTTGGACGTGTTCTACCCCAAGTCAGCAGTATTTCCTCCCTGCCATTCCTTTCTACCTCAATTACTTTTACTTGCCCTGTTTCCTCTGCCTGAAATTTTCTTCCTACTACTACTGCTATCTCCTCATGTTCAGATCTGTCTCAAGGCCCAGCTCAAACACTGTCTTTCAGGGGACCCACTTCCAACTCCCACAGCTCCTTCACAGAGCCCAGGCTCTTAGTCACCAGCCTAAGCTCTGTGCTCTCAGAGGATGGAGAGGACCTGACCCCTCCACACCCTCCTGTTCCCTGACTGCAGAGACCAGCCCTCCCTGGGTGGCACGCAGGGCCCAGATTGGAGCTGTAGACCATTTGAGCCAACTGTCTGTGGCTTCCTTCTGGAGAGCCCCTTCCCCCTCCACAGGAGGGGGGCTCCTCACTCTGGGGCCGTGTGTTTGAGAGAGAAGCCCTCAGAGGTTGTTAGGCCTGGTAGAGGTCAGTTTTGTAAGGAATCCCTGAGGCCAGCCATCCAGATGAAAAAGCCCAGGATCCAAGCCTAGGCAGCACTGGCCCCCTTGCCCTGCTCTCTGAGTGGTTGGGAACAGAGAGCGCAGGTTGGAGTTGGATACACTTGGACTGCTGTCTCCGTCTCTGCCGTGGACTGACTTTGTGACTGGGCAAGTCACTTAATTTATCTGACCCTTAGTACCTCAATAGTAAAAATGGGCATCATAATCATAACGTAGGCCTCCTGACAGCAAAGCTGGCATGAGAATTAAACTAGATTAGAAATCTTCTATGTGTAAAGCCCCTACCTAGCCCAGGGGCTTTATTTATTAAACACAGTAGGTGCTTAATAAATGCCAGTACCCTTTCATCCGTGTTGTATAGGAATCACTTTATAACTTCCCTACTTTCCCAAAGTGCCAACACATCTTCATTTGGCAGTGAGCTCCCTCCTCACTGGAGGTATTCAAACTGGGTCCGGGTGACTGCAGAACAGGAATGTTATTCCGAGAAACAGAACTTCAGTCAGATGGATGTTGGGCTTTGAAACCTTCAGATTCTTTCCTGTCCAGAATTTTTGCGATTCTGTGAAGACTTGACTCAGATCTCGTTGGTCAATTATTAGAAATCAGTTGGGGTTCGGCTTGGATGTCTGTTTTGCACAGATAAAAGACAGACTTCTGCTGGAGTTGTGAACTAATTGAAGGCTTTCTCCCAAGAGGTGGCAAGGGTAGAAACAAAATCAGGCCCAGGAGGAAGGACTCCAAGGGATCCTGGAAAGGGAATCTGGCTGGGATATTAGGGGCATGTGGCGAAATGTTTAGGTTGAATTTGGGGAAGGCTATACCACGGCTGCTAGAAATAATTTCCTGGGGCAAGGATTGTTTGATTTGTCTCTGAACCCCCGTACCCAGCACAAACCAGGTACACAGAAACATTCTAGAAAAATGTTGAGTAAATGACAAGAAGCTTTGGTGTCCCTATCAGATGGAATCCTGGGTTGAGGGACTCCTTGGGACTAGAGGCCATGTGGGAGTTTCATACTCTGTGTGTGTATGTGTATGTGCCTGTGTCTGTGTGTGTCTGTGTCTATGTGTGTGTATGTCTGTGTCTGTGTGTCTGTGTATGTGTGCCTGTGTGTGTGTCCATGTGTATGCCTGTGTGTGTGTCTGTCTGTGCCTGTGTATCTGTATGTGTGTCCGTGTGTGTGCCTGTGTGTCTGTCTGTGCATGTGTGTCTGTGTGTGTATCTGTGTGTGTGTCGTGTGTCTGTGTGTGTGTGTCAGTGTCTGTCTCTGTGTGTGTCTGTGTATGTGTGCCTGTGTGTGTGTGTCTGTGCCTGTGTGTCTGTGTATCTGTGTGTGTCCGTGTGTGTCCATGTGTGTGCCTGTGTGTCTGTCTGTGCCTGTGTGTCTGTGTGTGTATCTGTGTGTGTCGTGTGTCTGTGTGTGTGTGTGTCAGTGTCTGTCTCTGTGTGTGCCTGTGTATGTGTGCCTGTGTGTGTCTGTGCCTGTGTGTCTGTGTATCTGTGTGTGTCAGTGTGTGTGTCCGTGTGTGTGCCTGTGTGTCTGTCTGTGCCGATGTGTCTGTGTATGTATCTGTGTGTGTGTGTGCCTGTGTGTGTCTGCGTGTGTGCCTGTGTGTGTCTGTGCCTGTATGTCTGTGTGTATCTGTGTGTGTGGCGTGTCTGTGTGTCTGTGTGTGTGTCAGTGTCTATGTATGTGTGTCTGTGTATGTGTGCCTGTGTGTGTGTGTCTGTGTGTGTATCTGTGTGTGTCTCTGTGTGTGCCTATGTGTGTGTCTGTTTGTGTGTGTATCTGTGTGTGTCTCTGTGTGTGCCTATGTGTGTGTGTCTGTGCCGGTGTGTCTGTGTGTGTGTATCTGTGTCTCTGTGTCAGTGTCTGTGTGTGTGTTTGTGTGTCAGTGTCTGTGTGTGTGTATCTGTGTATGTGTGTCAGTGTCTGTGTGTATGTGTGTTGTTTGTGTTGTTTGCCTGGCTTCCTAAGACAACTCCTGTTTGCTATGCTTTCTGTTTTCTTTCCTCCACTCTTTCCCATCCTCCTCCTTCTAGCTTTATTGAAATATAGTTGATATACAAGCTTCACATATCTAAAGTACAGTGTGGTAAATTCTGACATATTTCTATACTGAT